>NC_000010.11:6979696-7131212 GCF_000001405.40 Homo sapiens
GTGCAGGTCAGGGCAGCCTTACTAGGATGGCTAACTGGCCCACAGTGATGAAACAATGACATTACTGTAAGATGCATCCTGACTTCTAATATGTTAAAATGGGGAAAAAAAATGCACACCATAAAAATGAGGAAACAGAAGCAGTTTAAGCCTGTGTCAGAGTTTCTCTGGGGAATCCTTTTGTTCTAGCTTATTATGGTAGATTTTGATGTTTTCGTTAACATTTCAAAAGTGCCTAAAATACCTCACAAAGAAAAGGTAATCAAGGCATTTTTTATTTTTTTTCAGAGACAGGGTTTCACTCTGTAACCCAGGCTAGAGTGCAGTGGTGTCACCATACCTCACTGTAGCCTCAAATTCCTGGGCTCAAGTGATCCTCTCACTTCAGCCTCCCAAATCCCTGAGATTACAGGACTGAGCCACTGCACCTGGGCAATGCAAAATTTTAAAAGGTATCTGCAAGTCAATGCAAGCAGCATTTCTCAACACTGGCTGTGCATTAGACGCAACTGAGAAACTAAACTAACAAACCAACAACCAATATTGGCCCCAAATTGAATCTCTAGGAGTGGGGCCCAGGAACCAGGTAATTTTGGAAAACTCTAGAAGGTTCTAGTGCACAGCCTAGTCTGAGAACCCCTGACCGATATGGGGAATATATAAGGAATCTTCTGGATTTCTAGAAAGCAAACTCCTAGTGCTTTCTATGTGCAATGAAGAGAGTTCACCTTCCTTGGGAACATCTGAATGAAGCAGCAGGTGGCTCCAGGCTTCTTTCATGTGGGCAGTACATGGTGCCAGCACCTCTTCGCCCCTCCTTCTTCTTTCCTCTTTTTTTGACCTCTCTCTGTTTCATGCTGGCTTGGCGACCTTGCTGCACAGATCTATTTTTAGCACAGTTCTTCACTGGGCTTTTAAGTCTTTTAAACTGTGTTATTCAAAAGCGTGTGTGCCCTATCATGCATGGAGAATAGACTTTCCAGGATTCTCTGAACTCAGGTGCTGGCTGCAGTGTTTTCAGCATCCTCACTGTCCTTTGTGTCCGTGGGGCTGGCCTGTCCTGCCTCTGCCTCCCCTGTGTCCTCTGTGAGGTGGTCCCACCTTGTCTGAATCCGTGGTGCTCAGGAAATGAATGAGCAGAATCTCCAGAGGTTGCGCTGGATTCCAGCATCTGCTTTAGTCTTCTCTCTTGTTAGCTGCAGACAACACGCACAGATCAAAACAGAGGGGGCCTGGGTCTGGTGTCCGAGAAAACCCTTCTGCAGTTTTTTTCAGTGACTTCCTTGGGTACCTTAGCTCATGTTGCTTAAATACTGACAAGTCTGTACCACATGTCATTGGGGGTTCCAATCACAAAATGAAAAAACTCCTTTTTAGAAATTGATATGTAATAGTTTCTATCAAATAGAAATAGATATGTAATACATACTTTGGAGGTACACGTGGTATTTTGATACCCGTATACAACGCGTCATGATCCAATCAGGGTAACTTGGATATCTATCACTTCAAACATTTATCTTTTCTTTGTGTTGGCAAAGTTACAGTTTCTCTTTTAGTTATTTTTCAATATCCAATGAATTATTGTTAGCTGTAATTTCTCCACTATGCTATTGACTACTCGATCTTCTTCTTTCTATCTAACTATATTTTTGTGCCCCTTAACCAACTAAAATATTTCATGTTCTATTCATATGTGGGAGCTTACAAAGTGGATTTCGCTGGGCGCAGTGGCTCACGCCTGTAATCCCAGCACTTTGGGAGGCTGAGATGGGCAGATCACTTGAGGCCAGGAGTTTGAGACCAGCCTGGCCAACATGGTGAAACCCTATCTCTACTAAAAATACAAAAATTGGCTGGGTGTGGTGGCGGGCGCCTGTAATCCCAGCTACTTGGGAGGCTGAGGCATGAGAATCACTTGAACCCAGGAGGCAGAGTTTGCAGTGAGTCGAGATTGTGCCACTGTACTCCAGCTTGGGCGACAGAGCAAGACTCTGTCAAAAAAAAAAAAAAAAAGTGGATTTCATAGAGGTAGAGAGGATGGTAGTTTCCATAGGCTGGGAAGAGAAGCAGGGAGTAGGAAAAAGAACTGCTTATTAAAGATTCCATAGCCTCCTCATCATACCTCTTACACTGCCATTTTGTCTCTGCTTTTGTTTATTTGTTTTTTAAGCTTAAAAACCCTGCTTAAATAGTCAAGAGGGAGCAATCCTATTGGGAGGCATTTTTCAATGGGAGCTCAAGCCTCGATATTGGGAGAAATATTTCAAATTCATTTTCCAAGTGCTATCCAGGTATTAAGACTACAGTGTGCCCTGTTCTTCAACCCTTTTCCCATTTAGGAAAAAAATAAATGCAGCTCGCTGCCACCGTTTATTTAATTTTACATAAACAAGCTCGTTGAGGCCGAAGCAAATCTAAATGATTTTCAATGTGAAAATAAAATATAAAAACTGTTCTTGGAGTTGTTTCTAAACAGAACTTGTCTCTAATCCTAATGGAACATCATGATGTTCCAAAAGTATTCTCAGGGCAAATGGGAAATGAGTTAAACTATTGGGATTGTTATGGAAGAGATGCTCCTGACTTCTTTGGGTATTTAACTCAGATTTGGACAGTGTAATAGCCAAGTGATATAGCCAAGAAGGTTAAATAATTACATCCATCGAAGGTGACCCATTTCTGAATCTTTCCATGAGATCACAATGAGTTTTCTTTTATAACACATTTTTTTGTGTAACTTATGTTTCATACGACCAATAAGCCAGACATCGTAGTACCTACCACAAACAAACAAAAAAAGAACCATCAATTAATTGAAATCTCTTCTCCTTACCCTTCTCCACAATTGTAGGAATTTTCCTAACAACTCATGGCTTCCCCTGGAGACCATAGTTCATGTGAGTGAAACTTTGTGAGAGGTATTTCGTAATGAATTGTTAGCAATCTGTAGAGCTCTGCATAATGTTCTTTAGGTTAAAAAAGCCTTTTAGGATATATGTTGCTGCCAACTCATTGTATGAGATTGAGTACATTGCTTGCCTTCTTTAGGGCTCAGTTTTCTCACTTAAAAAAAGGAGATATTTATAATATTTACCCCATAGGGTTTTTGTGAACATTAAAATAAATGAAAAGGATGTGGCTAATTGCTGGGCACATGGTTAAATGCACAATAAATGGTAGGTAGATATTATTATTATGTTTCTTTTCGTTAGCCAACAGTTTCTCTGTCTTCATTCATTTTTTTCTGGACATGTTATATATAGCTAATATGAAAGTTCAAAGAGTAGATTTTTTCCATCGCTTAAAATTTACCTTCTCAACATTTACATGGTCTCCTAAACAGAGAGACAGAATTTATAAGGCACAATTAACCTGTCTTTGAATATGAATCTTTGCTTGTGTACAAATTATCTGATTTGCTACAACACACCAAAGAATTCCAAAGGTTTTGGAGGTTTTCCCCCTAGCAAGATCAATAGATTCCTCTCCCAAATCTTATTCTTCATAATTCCTTAGTAGTGATTCTGCTTTACATTCTCATAGCAATTTGTGATTTTCAAGCTTTATTACAGTATATGTGAAGTCTGCAACAGTTCAGCCAACAATGTATCAGAAATATTACTGTCATGAAAGAAAGTTAAGAAACAGAGTTTAGGTAACTTGACGATTGACCCTCAGTTAGTGAGAAATTTAGGGAAGGTGCTAACTTTATCTGCCATGTTTTTGTCGACATGGGCTATTAATCCCGTCATTACTGAGTTCAAAATAGCTCTGTTAATATTAAGAAGGACCCGGGGTGGTGGCTTAGGCCTGTAATCTCAACATTTTGGAAGGCCGAGGTGGGAGGATCCCTTGAGCCCAGAGTTTAAGATCAGCCCGGCCAACGTCTCTACAAAAAGTAGAAAAAATTAGCTGGGTGTGTTGGCGAGTGCCTGTAGTCCCAGCTACTTGAGAGACTGAGGCAGGAGCATCACTTGAGCCCAGGAGGTGAAGGCTGCAGTGATCGCACCACTGCACTCCAGCCTGGGTGACAGAGTGAGACCCTGCCTCAAAACACATGAGCAAAACCAAAAACAGATTTTAAAAATATTAAGAAGGAGGCACACAGCTGAGAAAGAATCACTAGATTTTTTCTTTCTTTCTTGCCTTCCTTCCTTCCTTCTTTCCTTCTTTCTTAATATTTAATTTTATTTCATTTGAAGTTCTGGGATACAGGTGCAGGACTTGCAGGTTTGTTACATAGGTAAACATGTGTTATGGTGGTTTGCTGCACCTATCAACCCATCACCTTGGTATTAAGCCCTGTATGCATTAGCTATTTATCCTGATACTCTCCGTTCCCCAGCCCCCCAACAGGCCCCAGTGTGTGCTGTTCCCTTCCCTGTGTCCATGTCTTCTCATTGTTCAGCTCCCACTTACGAGTGAAAACATGCAGTGTTTGGTTTTCTGTTCCTGTGTTAGTTTGCTGAGGATAATGGCTTCCAGCTCCACCCGGATCCCTGCAAAGGACATGATCTCGTTCCTTTTGATGGCTGCATAGTATTCCATGGTATATATGTATCACATTTTCTTTATCCAGTCTATTGTTGATGGGCATTTGGGCTCATTCCATGTCTTTGCTATTGTGAATAGTGCTGCAACACATGTACACATGCGTGTATCTTTATACTAGAATGATTTACATTCCTTTGGGTATATACCCAGTAATGGGATTGCTGGGTCAAATGGTATTTCTGGTTCTTCACTAGGTGATTTTTCTTATCTTGAAGTTACTCCCTGTTTTTGCAGGTAGACAGCTGCCTTGCTACATCCTTTGCTGCTTAGGATATTTTAAAAAATTAAATCCACAGAGCATTTCAATATCTGATTTAGTTCTTTTGTTTACTCATTTCCCATTTAGAAAACAAAACGCATAGCTGGCTGCCAGCACTCATCTCTTGGGGCAAATGGGGAATGGATTAAACTTCTCCCAGTCACGCCTGCAGGTATCCACCTGCTTATGACTATCAACGTGGACTTGCTTTTCTGTTTTGCCATCCTTTCCTACTTGGCATTTCTTGAAACTGACAAAAAGCCAGGGGTAGCAAAAGGCAAGAGAATAAAAGGTGTGAGCGGAGGAGTTAAAAAGAGACATGGCCCATTCACTCAAATGATAACAGCTTCCTCATAACTAAGATCTCGTATTTGATGTCCAGCCAGCTTTATGGTCTCCTGAACAGTTCACAGTGTGCCAAGCTTTGGGCAGAGCACCCTTTCTCTGGATGAAATAAATGTGGCTTCCAGTGGCCTGGTGACATCTGTTGTTCCTATTTAAAACTCAAGGGTATACCACCTTTTTCTGTCTGAGCTGTTAGCTTTTAAAAATACTTAAAAACCAATCAGCAACTAAATTGCATCTGAAGAGCTATTTCAATTATAGAATGGAGGCAGTTCCTCAGCAACCGAAGTATTTAAGAGCTGCGAAAATTAATGTGCATTTGAATGCTGATTTTCAGAGTATAATACACTTTGTAATTCATTTAAATGTATTCTGTGGGTTTTATTCTAGCTTAAGGCACAGCAGCAGTACTTGACTCATCATAAAACTACATTTTGAAGGATTTTTTTTTATAGAAAAGTATTTAAAACCTAAGAAGATAAACTGAGTGAAAGCATAATTGGTCAGAACCAGAATATAGATGGGTTCTTCTCCTTGAATAACATAACTTAAAAGCACTTTTGTGGGTGATCCTTGGTCCTTAAAGAGACAACCTGGAGTTTGGGTTTTATCAAATGAAAATCCCATCTAAAATTGCCTTTTCCTTGGTTGCCCGGCCGCAGATGCAGCTTTCGTGCTTTCTAACTAGGAGCCATGCTATTTTTTGAAAGCTACTGACGTGACAGATAAATCCAGCAGAATTAGTGCCTCCATGGTTGGTGTGTTTTAAATCTGAGTTAATCAAACATAAGCATTTGGCCCCAAAGCCATCGCAAGCAGTACATATGTTGACAGCCCAAAGAAGGTAGAGTCAGCAAAGGAAACAGCTGCTTTTGCTCACCAGTTACAGAAACTAAGATTAAATGGATGTGCGAGGGAAAAAAGTGCAAGCAGGAGGAGGTGCTCCGGGGGGGACGCGCCAGGCCCTGGGTCACCTTTCCGCAGCCTTTAGCAAGAAACCTGGGAAGGACGGATTTGAACCAGAGACCACGGATGCTGGGGGAAGCCTGTGCCCTTGCCTCATTCAAGCCCTCCCTCCTGTGGCATAGCAGATGAGAGACTGACTCCTCGACATGGAATGACAGTAGTCCCCCATGTCTGAAAGTATTAAATGGAAATTTCCAGAAATAGTCAATTCATATGTTTTGTGTTTTGTTTTTGTTTTTGAGATGGAGTCTCTCTCTATCACCCAGGCTGGAGTGCAATGGCACGATCTTGGTTCACTGCAAGCTCCACCTCCTGGGTTCATGCTATTCTCCTGCCTCAGCCTCCCGAGTAGCTGGGACTACAGGCGCCCGCCACCACGCCCGGCTAATTTTTTCTATTTTTAGTAGAGACGGGGTTTCACCGTGTTAGCCAGATGGTCTCGATCTCCTGACCTCGTGATCCGCCCACCTTAGCCTCCCAAAATGCTGGGATTACAGGCGTGAGCCACCGTGCCCGGCCAGCCAATTCACAAGTTTTTAATGGCACCCTGTGCTGAGTAGAGTAATGAATTCCTGCACTGCCCCACTCTGATCTGCCTGGGATGTGAACTCTTCCTTCATCCAGCTGTCTACACTATGCACCCACTGGTCACTCAGTAGCCACCTTGGTTATCAGATGGAGAAAACACAGTATATGAAGGGTCCGGTACTACCTGCAGTTCCAGACATCCACTGGTGGTCTTGGAACAGAGCACCTTTGGACAAGGGGCTGCTGTGCTGCAGCCTCACACAAGGAGCCAGGCCTGGAACCCGTGTTTCCAGTCCCTCTAACCAGCCCCTAGAAGGATCCAGACATTCTCTTTCTCCACCTCTTTTGGCAGTCATATGAAAAAAAAAAAAAAAAAGAAAACACACACACATATGCTTCTGTACAACTTCAAGCGTTGTCTGGGATTATCTCTGACTTTGATCAGTCCTAGATTCAATATTATTTGTGTTTGATTTGCCTGAGTTGCATTTTAATCAATGAGTTGCCCAGAGCAATGCACAGAGGACATTCTCTGGTTTCCACGAAGAATGCCTCTTCCTGAAGCTAATGCTTCTCTCTGCCTGAAGTCAGCGTGGCTATAAGTGGAGTCTCTTAATGCCCTTGAAGACAGAAGGAAGCTCCTTTCACAGCCTGCCCTGGAATTTCCACTGCACTCTTCTGGAACAGAGGTTCAGAGGCATCGCACTGGGCCCCAAGCAGACCAGTGAAGTGGTTACTCCTCCGTTTAACAGGCGGGAAACCGGCACCTATGTGGAGTGCATTTCGCTAGCATTACAGGGAAATGACAGACAGAACCACAGCCTCTGTGATCAGAGACGGCCAGGTCCGATGGGTCAGAAATATTTGGGAACTCTGTATTGCCCCCATAAAAATAAAGATCCCCTAGGGCTTAGCAGAATGTTTATGGGATTTGGTTGAACTCGATAGTCACAGGCGAAAAGTAGTTTGGAAGACGCTAGGAGCACCTAGTTGGGACTGTCCATCCCAACTCTCCAAACTCAGGAAACCAATAGTTCAGGGATCTAAAGAAGCCTCGGGCTAATGCACAGGCTGGGCTGAGAGTGTGGCTTCCTTGAGCTCTGGGTCAACTTTCCTGACCTCTGCTGGGCAACTAAAATCTGTAGGATTTGCCCGCTGAGCCATGACAGCCCAAGGCCTCTGCCCTCTGGTCCCAAAGGGCCCCCACTCCCCAGGCAAACCTAGTATCACAGCCCCCACGGAGTCCCAGGTACCTCCTGCCCGTGAGGCCTCCATTTCTAGGCCAGGGAGCCGGACCTCTCACAAGGAAACCATTGAGTCTGCTTCTGAGCTGTAGACAGGGGTGGCTTTCATCAAAATACCCACTGCTCCCCCTGACAGAACTGGGAACAGAGAGCGCTATTTATAAGCATTCTGGTGGCAATTTCCACAGCAAGGAGGTGAGGCTGGTTTCTGATTTACGCCTTTCCAGCCAGCTGTCCCCCGTCAGACTGCACATGCC
The DNA here is from genome assembly GCF_000001405.40 of Homo sapiens. NCBI lineage: Eukaryota > Metazoa > Chordata > Mammalia > Primates > Hominidae > Homo > Homo sapiens. The sequence continues at coordinate 6,987,853 of NC_000010.11, forward strand.
GGCGTGACATTTCCCTCCAGCCAATTTCATCCTGAAAAGTTGTGTTTCTTTCACACTTGAATGAAAAGTAAGGCTCTGACTTGAATCATCCCTCACCTCCCCCCCCACAGAAAAGTGCAGTTTCCCAGGTTCTATCGGATTTGTACTCATGTCTTTCTAAGCTTTGGGGACAACACACTTTATCAGGGCTTCTGTGGTGTGCTGTGTGGAGTTTCCTTTGTAAATTCACTTGGGGAATTTAATTAAGAATTTGGGGAATAAACTGGGATCTGACTGATTTTTTTAAAAAAATGTATGTTCCTCTGTTCCTCTTTTCCTTTTTTTTTTTTTTTTTTTTTTTTTTGCTTTTCTCTACATTTTTAAAAGCAAAGAATATCCAGCCCAGGCAACATGGTGAAACCCCATCTCTACAAAAAATAGAAAAACTTAGCCAGGAATGGTGGTACGTGTCTGTAATCCCAGCTACTTGGGAGGCTGAGACAGGAGGATTGCTTAGGCCAGGAGGTCGAGGCTGCAGTGAGCCAAGATCATACCACTGCACTCCAGCCTGGGCAACAGAGTGAGACCCTGTCTCAAAAGAAACAGAGAAAGAGAGAGAGAGAGAGACAGAGAGAGAGAGAAGAGAAAGAAAGAAAAAGAAAGAAATAAAGAGAAAGAAAGAAAGGAAAGAAAGAAAGAAAGAAAGAAAGAAAGAAAGAAAGAAAGAAAGAAAGAAAGGAAAAGAAAAGAAAGAAAGAAAAAGGATATATCAAAGGTAGGTATTAGCAGGTAATTGAAAGCCTAGCAGACTTTGATAAAAAAGATAGGAGAAGAGGAACACCCAGTAATTCCAGTATCTTAAGTCAATGGGATGGCACCAAGTCCCCAACAACATGAAACAGAAAGTTGCTGTTAAGTGAAGACATGACTAATGGAAAGGACAAATGCCAGGGCTACAGGAGGGGTAGACGTGATCTGGGGCCTCAAGAAACAGGAACTGTAATACATCATGACACATCCGTGGGCCCATTACTTTGGGAGGGCAAGACAGGAGGATTGCTTGAGGCCAGGAGTTGGAGGCCAGCCTGGGCAACATAGCAAGACCCCATCTCCACAAAAAATTAAAATATAAACCGGGCCTGGTGGCTCACACCTGTAGTCCCAGCTACTCAGAAGGCTGAGGCAGGAGGCTCACTTGAGCCCAGGAGATTCATGCCGTAGTGAGCTATGATTACACCATTGCACCCCAGCCTGGGCGACAGAGTGAGACCCTGTCTCAAAAAAGATAAATAAATAAATGACACATCTCTAAGGCCCTCTGGATATTCAGTAGAGCCCCAGAGCTTTGGCCTTAGAGGAGGAATTATAAGGCCCCACCAGCTGGCTCCAAGACCATCCATTCTTACGGAACTTCACACAAGCCTTGCGTTTTCCATTCAGATTGTTCTGTTAGTGACACGTGGGGAACTTTCAGGAATCTAAATCACACCTTATGAAGTGGGTGAGAATCTAAAAATGAATAATATAACTAGCTGTGAAATTCTTCGTGTTATCTGAAATACATATGCCATAAACACAACAAAAATGATACTTTAAGTTGAGATCTGAAGGCAGACTGAGGAACAGGGTAAGAGAAGGTATATTCAGAATAAAATTCTACCAACACCTCCACTTTAGAAGTGTGTTTGGGCTGGGCATGGTGGCGTGTGCCTGTAATCCCAGTGCTTTGGGAGGCCAAGGTGGACAGATCACTTGAGCTCAGGAGTTCAGGATCAGCCTGGGCAACATAGTAAGCCCTCCACTCTGCCAAAAATACAAAAATTAGGTGGGTGTGGTGGTGCATGCCTGTAGTGTCAGCTACTTGGGAGGCTGAGGTGGGAGAATGACCTGGACCTAGGAGGTCGAGGCTACAGTGATACAGTGAGCTGTGATCACACTGCTGCACTCCAGCCTGGGTGACAGAGCAAGACTCTGAAAAAAAAAAATGTGTTCAGAAATACTAATTGAATTAGTAAGCAAATGAATTAATGGATGAGTCATGAGCATAGGGATAAGAACCATGGTTTAGACTTTTCTGAGAATGGGAAATTTAAGTAGGATTCAATAAGCATCCAAAGGGCAGGAGCAAAATTTCCTTATTAAAGTGTGAGAAGAACCCGGATGGCTCTCAGGTTTTCTCTACATTCTCAGATATTAAAGAAGACTTAGAAGTGAGTTAAGAAAATAATTGCTGCAAAAATACGGGAAAAGGCCAGATGATTGACAAAAATGATCATTAACCCCTATTGATAGTACCTCAAAAAACATGGTGTAAATTTATCATCTTTTTTTGTTACAAAATATTTCAAGGATGCAGAAAAGTGGAAAGAGTAAGCTGTGTTAAACCCAACACGTTCCCACGTTCACTTTAGATCTTTCTTGTCTTTTTTAAGAAATAAAGCAAAGAGGTAAAGTTGCTGTGTTTGGTTTTTTTTTTTTCCCTAATCCTTGTACATCTCCCTTTCCAGAAATAACCACTTTCCTGAAATTGGTGTTTGTCATTCCAAAACTTTTTCAAAAATTAAATTTTCTTACAGATGTACATACTCATACATCATGCAGTTTTACGTCTTTTTCACTTTTTTATAAATAGGGCTGTGCCATACATATCTTTCTATAACTTGCTTTTCTTACTCGATGTACTTGGAGGATTTATCCATGCTGATTTATGTAGTTCTAAGTAATTTATTTTAAACGATGTATAGTATGTATTATACTTTATGAATATACCATAATTTACATCTCCATTTTCCTGATGCTATATATTTCAGTTATTTTAAACTTTTTTTTTTCTGTTGCAAACAAGGCTTCCCTAAACGTTTCTGTTTCTTTTATTGAGCATATCACTAAGTGCAACCCCAGGGCGAGAGTTCTCAAGCCCGGCTGCACATTACAGAGTATTTTAAGTGATTTAAGAAAAATACTGCTGCCGGGCCCTACATCGGATTCTGATTTAATTGATTAAGGGTCTACAGCCTAGAGATAGAAGACAGAATATATACAGAGTTATAGATTTGGAAATAGCTGGAAATGATACAAGATACAAGAAAAATAAAGCAAGGTAGTGCTACAGGGCCTGGATCATCAGGGATGAGCCTCCCACAGAGGTGGTGTTGAAGCTGAGACTCAATGACCAAGGTAGGGGCCATCAGAAGATCTCAGAGAAAAAGCTTCATGCTAGAACAGATGGTAGGAGGAGGTTTATCAGTTTGAGAAACAGGAAGGAAGGAAGTGTGTCTGCCACCTGCCTCTAAATTTGTGGGGCTTGGGCTAGAAGATCAAGGCAGGCCAATAAACCATATACCTAAACATTTAAAAATCATAAATTAGGCCAGCCATGGTGGCTCACACCTGTAATTCCAGAGCTTCAGGAGGCCAAGGTGGGAGGATTGCTTGAAGCCAGGAGTTTGAGACTAGCCTGGACAACAAAGTGAGACCCCATTTCTACAGAAATAAAAATATTAGCCGAGCATGGTGTTATATGGTTGGGGTCCCAGCTATTTGGGAGGCTGAGGCAGGAGCATTGCTTGAGTCCAGGAGTTGGAGACTGCAGGGAGCTCTGTTCACATCTCCACTCCAGCCTGGGTGACAGAGTGAGATCCCGCCTCTTAAAAAAAAAGTCATAAGTCAATCAAACTATTAAAAAGCATGTGTTCTATTTTCCTATTTTAACAAACATGCCAGCATAATGACAAAATTTTTAAATATGGATAAAGCTATGGTTCTCTATCTGACAGCAAATCATCAAAATACCAATGACAACTGAATTTATTATTATTGCGCATGTCTGGGCATGCTGTGGGCATGCATTGGGTAGACCAATGATGCTCGAAGAAGTAATGAAATATGGGTAAATAATTCATAAATTATTTTCTATTTATTTCTCTAAATTTGTTTTGCTGGATTGATTTCAATAAAATCACTATTATGTTGTCATAATCAATATTCACACAATTTGTTTTATTAATAGTAATGATCTAAAAGATTAAAAATAGTTTTACTTAAGATACACAAAATTTAAATATATTTTCATTAAAAACATGAATTAGAGGTGGGGGGTCAGCCCCCCGCCCGGCCAGCCGCCCCGTCCGGGAGGTGAGGGGCGCCTCTGCCTGGCCGCCCCTACTGGGAAGTGAGGAGCCCCTCTGCCCGGCCACCACCCCGTCTGGGAGGTGTACCCAACAGCTCATTGAGAACGGGCCATGATGACAATGGCGGTTTTGTGGAATAGAAAGGGGGGAAAGGGGAGGGGAAAGATTGAGAAATCGGATGGTTGCTGTGTCTGTGTAGAAAGAAGTAGACATGGGAGACTTTTCATTTTGTTCTGTACTAAGAAAAATTCTTATGCCTTGGGATCCTGTTGATCTATGACCTTACCCCCAACCCTGTGCTCTCTGAAACATGTGCTGTGTCCACTCAGGGTTGGATGGATTAAGGGCGGTGCAAGATGTGCTTTGTTGAACAGATGCTTGAAGGCAGCATGCTCGTTGAGAGTCATCACCACTCCCTAATCTCAAGTACCCAGGGACACAAACACTCTGCCTAGGAAAACCAGAGACCTTTGTTCACTTGTTTATCTGCTGACCTTCCCTCCACTATTGTCCTATGACCCGGCCAAATCCCCCTCTGCGAGAAACACCCAAGAATGATCAATAAAAAAAAAAAAACAAAACAAAAAAAAACATGAATTAAGGTTAAAAAGTTTAACTATCATTTGTTTCATGTTTTCCATAAGAAAACATATTTTCTTCTAAAATACAAATCATGATTAATCAATATCAAAATATTTATTCAAAATCACTTAAGAAATGTTAAAGTTAAAACTTTAGAAAGTTTAAATAAATCTCATTAAACATTTTTATGAATATAAAATAATTTACAATTCAAGTGTTGGATCTATATCTGGTTGCTAATTTAAGAATTTTTACCACTTTTCGTGTTACAGCTAGTCTCTTATGATTTCAAAACTGAAGTTTTAGTATTATTTAGGTATGGTGGGGGCGACAGTTCAGGAGACAGCTGCCATCGAAAAGATAGTTTGTTACTCACAGATCCCAAAGGAAGAGGTATGGCATGCTATGGGGGTAACGTGGAGACACCTGGGTCACTTAGGAGGCAGAGAGTGGGTGAAAATGTGGACAAGAACCTGTATCGTGGTCTTCGTGGGAAGGAATGGTGGAGACAAGGTGAGCAGGTTAGGATCAGCTAGTTGACACGTCAGCAGGCTCTGGGGACATCTCATAGGAGTCCCCTGTCCACAGCTGCCTGGCACCTGGCATCAGGGTGATTAGAGCAGGGGATAGTGGCTCAGAGTGTGAGAATCGGGCACAGGAGGTCTTAGAAATAATTGGCTGGGGCCAGGCATGGTGGCTCACGCTTGTAATCCTAGCAATTTGGGAGGCCAACGTGGGTGGATCATGAGGTCAGGAGCACGAGAACAGCCTGGCCAACATGGTGAAACCTGTCTCTACTAAAAATACAACAACAACAAAAAAGTTAGCTGGGTGTGGTGGTGGGCTTCTGTGGTCCCAACTACTCAGGAGGCTGAGGCAGAAGAATCGCTTGAACCTGGGAGTTGGAGGTTGCAGTGAGCCGAGATCATGCCACTGCACTCCATCCTGGGTAACAGAGCAAGACTCCATCTCAAAAAGAAAAAAAAAAAAAAAAAAAGAAGAAATAATTGGCTAGTTTGCATACAAAAGGTATGCTGATAGGTGAGTTGTTTGCCTTCTCTAGGAATTGACTAACCCTGGATAGGCGAGGGAAGAGTTCCTCCAAAGTTAACAAGACCCCAAGATGTCAAAGCATCAAAATATAGAAAACAAAAGCATGAATAATATATGGAGGGAAAAGCATGAATAATTAACACATATAAACAAATTTAAGAGTAAGATGAACTGTTTATATTGCAAATTGTTCCTAGGTGACCTCTGTAACTATTGCAAACAGCAGTTCATGTGCAGAACCTAAGCCTACATGTCTATGGCCGCTGCTGGCTGGGGCTGAACAGTGGCTGCAGCCCCCAGATAAGCACCATCATCCCAGTATTCCAGCCTCTGCCACTCCCTGCCATTCCCAAGGTTGTGGTCTCACGTTTTTGCCTTTTGCCACCATGCCTTCCCTATTGCTTTTTAAGGAAGAAAACGATAGCTATCTCGCATTCACGTTTCCGAGAGTTGATAAAACAAGATCCACCAAGAGGCCAAAGCTGTTAATCAGAATGGGAAAGAACTCGCTTTTTTGCTAGATGAAAGAATAGTCCTGTATGTTTAGTATAAAAAAAAGTGTTTGGTATGAAAAAAGTTTGTTAAAAGAATATAATTTAGAAAGTCAATATAAAGCAATTCACAGTAAGTTTCACCTGAATCAAGTATGACAAAAAAATCTAATGAAATGAAAAACAAAATAAAATTTCAAGAGGTTTATTTATAGTGTGAGTAAAATAAGCAATGCTGCTGGGGAACACAGTTATACATTAAGTGAAAACTTGGCCCAGGCATTAAAACCTTTTCAGTTGGTGAGTTTATAGCGAGCATCTACAGAGGTGGCTAGGTATGGGAAAGAAAGAAGCATTTATAAATCTAACCACAGTTGCTTTTGTTCTGAATTCTAACAATAAAGCTGAGAATTTTCAGGGCAAGTTGCTTAAAAATAGATAAGTTATATGATATTTTCTATTACAGTTGAGGCAAGCACAGATGATAGCTGCCAGTTAGTTGTATTTGTTCATCTTTTCCATTGAGTTTTGATATGACCAAACCTCTGGACATGGTACCAGTGACAGCTACACATATCAGGACATGACATGTTGTGTTGTGTTGAGAAAAGTTTTGGAAAATTTAATGTGAACTGGTCCCAATTAGTAAATTGAACTACAGATAAGCTACGGTCAAGGTCAGAGTTAGACTTGCTAGCGTACTTAACTGCAATATGTTAATAGTGTGCAAAGGCATTGTATTTAGCTGTTAAATCATTCACTCAGGAATAATAGTTTATTATAAAACTTTAAGAAGTGCAACATCTTGAACACTCTCTGCCCCTAGATGTACAACCAGAGACAGATTATACCTATTGGACTCAAAGTGTGGCATGGTGTTACAACATGGAGGTCAGATGATCTGGTTGTGCCAGGTGACAAAGAGATTTGTATCAATTTTTGGCTAAAATAGGCATGTTACTTCAATACAAAGAAAAACATCTCACCACCTTTCACCAGCAAAGCATGAATACAGGTTTAGCCTTTTGGGTTGACATTAACACGTCCCATGAAATTTTAACTTCCTACGAAGTTGTTCACATGTCATTTTAAAAGAAGTCATACCACTCAGTTTCCCTCTCAAACCAATTTTCTGAAATGCAAATGAAACACTTCCAAAACTGTAGATCTGAAGACTGAATGGCAAAAGAAAAAAAAATCTCAGATTTCAAACTTTATGCAGTGCACTTACAGGGTTCAATTCACACTCTGATTTAATGTAATTTGAATAAAAACTACAAATGGAATTTACTGTACTACACTTCACTGAAAAGTAAATTTTACAATGATGTTAGAAAAGCAGAATTTTACAAATAGCTCAAGAGTAGTTACTTTAACAATGAAAATCACTGTGCAAGAATCTATCCACATTAAAATACCTATATTTGTGAACAGCTGGTTTTCATTATGAAACCGCAGAAAACTACATGTCACTGACTGTTAAAGGTTTAAGGATGAATTCTGGTTTACACAGAACACACAATCTGACATTGTCACGTTCGGACAAAAAAGTAAAAAGGAACTGTCATGTTTCTATATCCTAGTCAAAAGCATGATGAATGACAAAATTAAAAATCATAAAGCATAAATAAAAATTTTAATGAATTGCATATTAAAATGTATTAAAATATATTATAAGACATATTAAGTACATTTATTTTAACTTTTACTTTCAAATTGATAACATATTCTCTACTATTACACATATTTTGTTATGACCTTATAATAATACATCTTTAAAAATAGAGAAAGATTGACTATATTTCTGGCAGCTTGTTTTTCTTCTACTCAATTCATTTCACTCATTCATTTCTACATTCCTGGCCCTATAGACACGTCACTGTGTGATCCCTGCTGTAGACTGTGAGTTCCTCATGGACGGAGACAAAGGCAGGATATGATTCCACCAGCTTCCCCTTCTGCTCTTCAATGATTCATCAATCACGTAACAGATATTTCTTGGTGCCCTACTATCTATCTGGCACTGTAGCTAGTGCTGCAGTTGCAAAAATGGGTAAGACAATTCCTGTGTCAGGAGCTCAGATTCCAGGTGGAAACCGAGCAAGTGTTCAGTAGATGTCTGAATTGAATTGATTATCTGTCTTTTACCGCAATGCCAAAAAAAAAAAAAAAAAATTCTAAGTTACAAAACTTATGGATCCAGAAGAGGTTCGTTGCAATGTAGAAGGTAATATAACAGCTTATAAAATTCCTCCCCAAGAGAAAAATTATTCCTCTCTGCAGGGTTTGATCTGCGAAAGCATCTGGCACAATGGGAAGCATCAGATTTTGCATTCATGATGAGTAAAATTTAAGTCCCTGAAGCTAATTAGTAAATTAGCATATAGGCTTATTCACCTGAGACCCTCCAAGCCCTTTCCTATGGCTGCAGCATGAAGTAAGCTTTCCCCAGGAGACGACATTGAAACGTATGTCTAAATAAACATGCCTTTGTCTTCACTGACATCTGAATCTATTTCTCTTTGTCATCACACTTGGAATCCAGAGGACTGTACTTCTAAGCCTGGTACATTCAGCTCAACACAGCCAGTGAACAACATTTACATTCCCGCCTCCCACCCTACATAAACTTTTCTTTAGGTTGTGTCTTAACACACAGCTGGGCTGCTATCATAGGATATAGGACGGTACCTCTTTCATGACCTAAGGAGTTGCACAAAATTTAAAGACATAGATGAAAATAAAAAATGACATGGAGGCTTCTGAGGTCAAAAGGGAAATACAGAAATTAATTGCATGCTTTTTTTCTATTTCAATTTAAGAAACATTTAATTTCTTATCATTTATTAGCCCAGAAAATACAGTTGTTCTTTGAGCTACTATACTTTTTAGTTATTTGCTAGCATTGTCCTTCTTCCGCCATGTTAATCCACATAACCCAGCTGAATTCTAGTATAAATCATGCTATTATATCAAGTGCCCATCCTATGCAAGGCCCTGTAGGCAGGAGAGCAACTAAAAAGGTTTTCCATCAAAGACAGAATGAAGGATGAATGTAATTGATCAAGTGAAAAAGACAACGTATGAAATCCAGGCAGTCACAAAAGTATGAAATATCATGGTGGACAAAATGAAAATATAAATTGTTTGGATGGCTGGGGTAGCAGAGAAAGAGCAGATTGCCCATCTGCCTGGGACCTGGGGCTGGATCCAGCAGCCCAGGGGCCAATCACTGCTCAAGGGAAGGTTTGCTTCAGAGTCATCAGGAGATTTAAAACACACACACACACACACACCTACCTTTTTCTTTTTATCTGGCCAGCAGACAAGGTAACTTAGATTCAGTAGGTATGGGGTTGGGACCCAGAAATATTTGTCTAAATGCTTTCCGGGTTTCAGTTCAAGATGGCAGACTGAGAACACGTATGTGCCTCCCTGAAACTTTACTGAAATAGTAGTAAAGAAGGACTAAGTGATTTACCCACACCCATGAAGAGAACAGAAAAATTGCAAGGGGGCCGGAGTCCATAATCTATTACTTAAGGGAAAGGCTGCAGCAGTTATAAAAGCCACAATTTCTGGCAGAGCTACAGAAAGGCTTCAAAACTGGTGTTAGCAGGAGTGGGTAATGAGTAATGTGACAAGAAAAATAGGTGATTAGAAGACAGTCTAGGGAACAGTTGAATCCTCCACTTCCAACTCATGTAGAATAACTGGTAACCCAGCTGCTGCTTCTTTTTAGGCTTTTTTTTTTTTTTTTTTTTTTTTTTACAGCAGATTTAGGTTCACAGCAAAATTAAGCAGGAGGTACAGAGAGTTCCCTGTATCCCCTACCTCCACATGTGCACAGCCTCACCCAGTATTAACATCCCCCACCAGAGGGTACTTATGTTGCAACTGATGAACCATCATTATCACCCCAAATCTAGAGTTTATATCATGGTTCACTCTTAGTGTGAACGTTGTATGGGTTTGAACGAATGTATAATGGCATGAAAAATCCACTGTTGTAGTATCACAAAGAGTGTTTTCAATGCCCTAAAATTCCCCCATGCTCCTCCTAATCATTCTTCCCCCACCCTAAACACCCAGCCTTTAACTACATAGTAAAGATGTTCTTTGAATGAGTTTTTCCAGAAATCTGAGAGATGCAATTTCTAGCCTGATTAACTTCTCCTTGGCTGAAGGCACAGGAAGACAAGCCCTCCCTACAGTTTTCCTGGCAAGTGGGGAATGAGAATACTCCACCCTGCTACAAGTACTCCTGAGGCTCAGACCTCACCAGGGACCCAGAGGAAGTGTGGAGGAAGATGAGAGCTGAAGTTAATTTCACTCCTGTTACATCGCAGCCTCAGGACAACTAATGATAGATGGTCTTTATGGTGATTACTATCAATCTTACTAGGGTGGCAATAAGAATTTTAATATAGAGCTTCAAAACAACCCAGCCAGGGCTGAGGCTGCCCCTTCTCTCCTCTTACTGCAAACACTGGCAATGGGAATCAAACTTTCCCTTTGAATTATATCTCTCAGAGAAGAAGGTATTCTCTGATAGGTAGAGGGACAAAAATAAGCCAAAGCTCCCCTTTGCAACTTTCATTGATTATCTTTGTTTTTTCCCTGGAGAAGAAAATAAACCAGCAGGAACAGGTGGTTGATGCTGGAGGAACCCAGCACTAGATTTGGCTGGAAAGGAGATGGGGGATCAGGAGTCTTAAACCCAATGCTCTTGGGAATCCAACTTGTCGTGTGACGCATAACATCAAGAGACTGCAGACCAAGGCAAGTTTTGGAAACTGGTGTGAATCAGTCCTCAGCCACTTGCTGAAAAAAATCACCTTCTTCAGGAGAGGGCACTGACAAGGACCAGGAATGTTTTCAGAGCTGCATCCAAATGGGCTGAGATACTCAAATCCCACCATGAGGACCTGGATGAGGCAGAAGCTCAGTCCTGGAACTGGACAAATGTAGCTTGCACAATGCCAATCTATCAGGCAGCAAAGCCACAGGTCCATCTGCACATGGCTTCTCAGTATTCCCCCTGGTCTAAGGCCCACAGTCCTATATTAGACCCCACTAGACTGTGGGCCCAAATCTGAGAAACTGCCCTGCTTTGAACAGAATGGGTTAGAGAAAATGCCCTTAAAATTCTTTTGCAATCTCACATGGCAGGAGTGAAGAAAGGAAAGAACCCTCAATTTGTAGTATTGAGAAATTAGCTTTTGTGGTGCAGGGGAGATTCCCTAATTTTTTATTGAAAATAAAACAGGTTTAATGCACTTGTTTTTAATGTCTCTTGCTCTACAATGAGGTTTTGTGGCTGATTTTCACACCGTGGGTCACTGCAACCTTTAGGTCTTTTCTTTTCTATACTCACACTCAATCAGCCAGTGCTCAAGCTATACCAATGTTGCACACACCTGAGTGTGTGTATGGGAAGGTGGGGCTGGGGGTTGAATACATCCCTTTGCATGTGTCTCTAGTGAGTTTAGTTCTGGTAGGTTCTGACCTCTCCTCTGGCCTTTTGAATGGAATCAGTCTGCTGCTCACAAACTTGGCTTTGTTTGAAAATGAATAAACCACTCTTCATCCCACAGTCCATTTAGGAAACCAAAACAGCCCTAGACCCAGGGTAGACTGGTACAGCACAGCTTTGGCACAATCTCCACCCACCCCTTCTCTTCACAAGGGACCATGGAAAATGCATTGAAAATGCCTCCTGGATTCCCAGTTCCAAGCCATCTTGAGCCATGCAACAAAGAGAAATGGTCGTTTTAAAGGTTCCTTTCTCCATGTGGATCTGTAATAACATTCCACATGAAGAGGATTTTTGTTTATGCATTTGCATATTCATTTTCTTTCTCTGTTGTGACTCCCCACGAGCTTTGCACAAATCCTGCCTCAATACACCTTTTGCTTTCAAAGCACCAGGCACACAGCTATTAGTTTTAATGTCTGTTTGTAAAAGTCGGCCCTGAAATTTAAAATTCAGTGAAATCTCTACACATGTTGAGATCACAGTTGTAAAGTGGCCCTTTTATGAATACCAGGGAAATAATAGAATCTTCACTTGCTTTCTGAGGCTGCGGCCGCAGCCGCTGCTGCTGCCTTGGTTACAGCCATGTGGGTTCTCAACAAGCTCTTAATTTGAATGGGCTGTTTATGTTCTGCTTACAGGAGGCAAGCCTAGGTATGAAGTCCACTAACCACAGGAGAGCTGGACTCGGTGAATTACTTTCTTTGCACTAAATATGCTCTATGTGACTAGCTCTCAGCCCACTTACAGCAACAGTGCAAGTGATAAGTGCTTGTGTTGGTTCTCATTCATAGGTGGGAATTGAACAATGAGAACACTTGGACACAGGGTGGGGAACATCGCACACTGGGCCTGTCGTGGAGTGGGGGGATGGGGGAGGGATAACATTAGGAGATATACCTAATGTAAACGATGAGTTAATGGGTGCAGCACACCAACATGTCACATGTATGCATATGTAACAAACCTGCAGGTTGTGCACATGTACCCTAGAACTTAAAGTATAATAATAATAATAAAAGAAATAAATTGGATCTCTGATACCCCCACTACCTCAAGCAGAGACTGATGAGTCAGTTCTATAAATAGATGCCATCTCCTCTAAACACAGGAAGGGGGTCTGTCTGGAGGTAGTATCTGTCCCTGTGCTGCTGGGGGGCGCTAGGAGATTACCTGTACACCTGTTTCGGTCAAGCTGTACCCCTGGGTCATCTGCCCAGGGCACAAATCTGTGGGGTCACGAGTTTCTGGGTAATTTCAGAGCCTTTTGTGGGATTACCCCTCATATTCACCCCCACTCAATCGTTCACCTGTTGAGAGCTGGGAGGAGAGGAAATGTCACAAGATGGTATTCCTTCTGCTGATTGATGCTGCAGTCAAAAATTATCCTTCTCACCCGGAAAGAGACATGGTACAGGCAAACAAGACAGTGATAGCTGCACAAGGTCAAACCAGAAATGAAGAAAAGCCAGAAACCGGGGGCCAGCCAGTGGGTTGGAAGCGACAGGACCACATCCATGGGCACACTAATGCCCAGACATGGGAGGTGATAAGAAGCAAAAGATACAAAAGAGGTGGGATGGTTGTTAAATTGTCTGCAAGTCCTTTGGCACTCTTCCCACAGAAGGTAGAGTCTAATTTCCCTCTCCCTGAATAGGGATCAATCTAGCGACTTGCTTGTGAGGGATAAGATGCATCAGAAGTGGCCCCCTGTGACTTCTGTGGCTAGCTTTCTGCCTGGTTCTCTCTTGGGACAGGTATCTCTGGAGCCCTGAGCCACCGTGGAGGATGCTGACCACCCAGAAGCTGCCCTGTTACAGAGAGCCCATAGAGGTAGCTGTGCCTGAGGGGCCCGAGGGATTCAAGACCTCAGTGCCTTGATCTTCGTAGCCAGATCCCAGGCACAGGGTGTGCAGAACTTCAGATGATTCTAATTCCCCGATTCAAGCAGCTGAGGCCGGGTGGGACAGAAACAAACCATTCCCACAGAGCAGTTTCCTAAGAAGCATCAATTAGAACTGTTGTTCTAACAAATCCAGGGAACTGAACCTGGATAAGATATAGAAGCTGTAGGGATGCAGATTTCAGCTTTCTGTAAAAACAAAATAATACAGCAGAAAGAAAACAAATTATATAAAATCAGAGGGGCCAGGTGCAGTGGCTCGCATCTATAATCCCAGCACTTTGGGAAGCCGAGGTGGGAGGATCGCCTGAGCCCAGGATTTGGAGGCCAGTCTGGGAAACATAGCAAGACCCCATATCTATAAAATTTATTTAAACTTAGCCAGGTATGGTGGTGCACCCTTGTAGGTGTTACTCTGGAGGTGGAGGCAGGGGGCTCACTTGAGCCCGGGAGGTCAAGACTCCAGTGAGCTATGATTGCACCACTGCACTCCAGCCTGGGTGACAGAGTAAGACCTAGTGTCAAAAAAATAAAAATGAAAATAAAAATAAAATCATAGGAACAAAACACAGAGCCCCACCTTAGCCACTGACAAACTGATTGAGTGGTTTGACTTATTTGACCTTGAGTTTCTCATTTTTAAAATGATATTACTGATGATTCTTGCCTCACGGCATTCCGATGATTAAATAAGATAACATATGCTTTGGAAGCTTATAAAATTGTAAATTCCTAAAATGTGCAACAATTGTTAATCTTGCTGTAAGAAATTAAAGATGAATGCTCAGAAATTGAGCATTCTTGAGAGAGGGCATCTCATAATGGAACCCCACCAACACAGTGTTCTCCTGCTTAACGAGTTTGTGTCCAGTAAATAAACGAATGAGTGTATTGCCTTGTATGGGTCCATTCTCCCGACAACAGCCGGGATACAAAGCAACCAAATACATCTAGGTGAATGAACAGGCACTGCTCAAGAATAACTGAATTCTCGGCATTCCTCCACGACAGGCTCTCCACCCACCCTTGCATCTATAGCCATACTCAATCCATGGACAATATGTGGCTTCTTCAGTCATGGCGGAAACTTGCTGCCCAGATCCCTCTTCAAGGAGGGACTTGCTGTGGAGTGTGGTCGGCAGACAGCCTCAGACATCAGCTCCTTTAAGGCTCACCTCAGCTGCAGATGGTGCCCCAACCCAGGCGCATTCCCTTCCAGGAACAGCCTGCATCTGGTGACCGGGTGTGAAACGCTGCCCAATTCTGCTGAGCACCCTGAATGGCACCACTCACTCCAGAGCTCCCTGAGCCTTTGTTGGGTTCCATGGCACCTGACTTCCTCTGTCCCATTCTGCTTCCTCCCTCCCATCACAGCTATTGATCCCTAGCCAGCATCTTGCATCCCAAACTTGGTCTTAACATCAGCTTCCAAAAAGCAACATTAGTTATTTCAATATTTACCAGCACTGAAGAAAAAGCAGAAGAGATTTCCTCATCATCTCCAACTGGACAAGGTGAAGACAGAAAAACGTTCTCTTTCTCTCTGCAACAGTGGGGCTTGACATTTTTGTTGAGATATTTTTCTGGATACCCTTAGAATACTGGGGTTTGGGGCAGGATGCTTGCAGGAACTAAATTGTGTTTGTAGTCAGCGTGCCATTCACTCGACTGCCCTTCAGCAATGGAGCGTTCTCTGAGTAAAATTGTCCATTGCCCTGAATAGGCTATGACAGTGTCTCTAAAAGTTACATGACTAGTTAGGGAACATATGTTATATCATATCCCAGCTTACTCATACATGTAGGTTTCATGTGTGTGCATGACAGAAGCAAGTCTTATGATATAGCAGGTATAAAAAAGTGCTCTGATATTTTCTATTCTATTTTGTTCCTTTGTCTTTAATAATGCCTGTTGTGACCTACTAAATTGATTTTATGACCCACTAGGGTCATGTTTTTTTTTAATGTGTGTATGGAAAAATAAAAGCTCTATTTTATACTTTTAAGGCAAAATGTGTTGCATATATGTAAACACATGATTGGTCCTCTACCTAGTGTTTCTCGTTTTTTTCTTTGATGGCTTATAACAAAGAATATATTTTACACCAAGACCCACTGTACACAGAGAAAAGTTTCATGACACAATGTCTCCCTTGTATATAGAAAGCAGTCTCCTGTTTGCATTTTCATTCATTTTATTTTGGAAATGGTTAGAACTCAGTAAGTTGATTTCATAATCCATGGTTTAGAAAGCATTATTCTAATGTAAATGGAAGAGTCCATCAGCTCAATGTTCTACTCGAGACCTATTCAAATCACATGTACTCTCAGTTGTAATTAAAACTTCTTTTACACACTGATCAAAATGTGGCATCCTGACCAGGAACAGCAAACCAGGGCTCTCGTGGTGGTGACAGGAAAACGATGGAAGCACATGATAGAAACCCTGACATGATCAACCACAGTGACATGTGCACACACAGAGCTGGAGGCTGGCACTGAGGTGAGTGTGTGTGTTGCATGTGGGCACTGTATTTGCAGTCTCTAATCTCTGTCTGGAATGTGCACGCACACACACACACAGAGCTGGAGGCTGGCACTGAGGTTAGTGTGTGCATTGCATGTGGGCACTGTATTGGCAGTCTCTAATCTCTGCCTGTCATGTGCACACACATGCACACATACAGCTGGAGGCTGGCATTGATGTGTGTGCATTGCATGTGGGCACTGTATTTGCAATCTCTAATCTCTACCTCCTACAGACCCCTCAGTTCCCTAAGAATGTTTCACAGAAACTGTTTAAGCTGTGTTTTTAAAAATACATTTCCCTGAGTTAGTTACTTCATACTTCTGCAGTGCCGCAAGACATGATAATTTCCTATCAATTCCTTCCATTCCAACACCCGTATGTTACCACTAGTTGTCTTGCCCAGCAGTTTTAAAAATGTAATGTTTTAGCAGGGTACTGGTACCAAAACAGACATATAGACCAATGAAACAGAACAGTGACCTCAAAAATAACACCACACATCTACAACCATCTCATCTTTGACAAACCTGACAAAAACAAGCAATGGGAAAAGGATTCTCTACTTAATAAATAGTGTTGGGAAAACTGGCTAGCCATATGCAAAAAACTGAAACTGGACCCCCTTCCTTACACCTTATGCAAAAATATATACACCTTAACTCAAGATGGATTAAAGACTTAAATATAAAACCTGAAACCATAAAAACCCTAAAAGAAAACTTAGGCAATACCATTCAGGATATAGGCATGGGCAAAGACTTCATGACGACAACACCAAAAGCAATCACAGCAAAAGCTAAAATTGACAAATGGGATCTAATTAAACTAAAGAGCTTCTGCACAGCAAAAGAAACTAGCATCAGAGTGAACAGGCAACCTACGGAATGGGAGAAAATTTTTGCAATCTACCCATCTGACAGAGGTTTAAAATCCAGAATCTACAAGGAACTTAAACAAATTTACAAGAAAAAAAGACAGTCAAAAAGTGGGCAAAGGATATGAACAGACACCTCTCAAAAGAAGACATTTATGTGGTCAACAAACATATGAAAAAAAAGCTCAGCATCACTGATCATTAGAGAAATGCAAACAAAACCACAATGAGATACCATCCCACGTCAGTCAGAATGGTGATTATTAAAAAATCAGGAAACAACAGATGCTAGTGAGGCTGTGGAGAAATAGGAACTCTCTTACACTGTTGGTGAGAGTGTAAATTAGTTCAACCACTGTGGAAGACAGTATGGCGATTCCTCAAGGATCTAGAACCAGACATACAAACACAGGAACAGAAAACCAAACACCACATGTTTTGAACAATGAGAACACATGGACACAGGGAGGAGAACAACACTCACCTTGGTGGGTGGGCGTGAAGGGAGAGCATTAGGACAAACACCTAATGTATGTGAGGCTTAAAGCCTAGATGACAGGTTGATAGGTGCAGTAAACCACCATGGCACATGTATATCTATGTAACAAACCTGCATGTTCTGCACATGTATCCCAGAAATTGAAGTAAAATGAAAAAAAAAAAAAATGTAATGTTTTGCCTCTGTTTTCTCATTGCAAGAAACTTTGATACTCTATGTTTCCATGGCTGATTTTCTCAAAAACGTATGGTTTTCATCGAAACCCAATGGCCATATTTCTCTAACTTCCTTATTGCTCCCCTGTGTGTGAACGGTGGAGCAGGACTCTGATATAACTTCAATGATAAAGGCTTATCACTAAATAAGAGACTTCCAAAATGATCTTGTGTGTCAATATCCTATGCACAAATACAAACTGATCATTTTCAGACCCTTTGCTGTCTAGGGTGGATTCAGCCCAAGTAACGTTCATTGTTGACTAAGAGAGGCGGAAAGCATGAGGTTGCAAATGGAGAAGCAGAGAGCTAAATTATTCTACTAAGAAGAGGACCATGGGAGAGGGCTAGAGTATGAGCTGGAAGGGAGGGAAAGCTAAAGCCGCCACTGAAAAGGTTGCTCAGAACAGGAGTCATGGGAGAAAATAATCCAAAAGAAGAAAAAGCAGAGAAGTATTCAGATGATTTTTATGAGTTTTTTTTTTCCTGTGGAATGCAAATATATAGTTTTACTCTAATTTCTCTTGAAAGCATCAGTAACACCAACATTGCTTGCCAGAGCTTGGGTGGTGCCTGGGTAAGAACCGAGTCTGGTCTCAAGATAGCGTAGCGCGAAGGAAGCCCCCCTGACCACATTTGAGTCTCCAAGACAATAGTTTCTCTTCTCGTCTTCAGGGGTTAATGGCAAACAGTCAAAAGAATGAAATAAGACAGACTCCAGCCCATCCAGAACACAGAAAGAGGAAATTGGAGCCACACAGTGGGTCTATAGATATGTTCTATCTCTTTTTTTCTCCCAAGAGATCACCTTTGAGATAGTTTTGAACACATGCTCAGCTAGCAGCACCCCTGTCTGGTAGAGACTCTTTCAGAAGCCCGTTGATCCGCAGTCCAGCAAGCAAATGACTTTAGAAGAAGGAAAAAAATAAAGTAACAGGAAAGGAGGGAGAAAAAACACATTGGAGGGAGAAAGGGGAAGAAGAGATAGAAAATCTGTCCACTAAATTTATTATCTTAGCTTGCATTTTGGTGAGAATATGTACATTAATGGACCATCTGCTGAGAAAATCCGCCAGAGATTTTCAGTGATTCAAAGTGATGATAGGACTCACATTTCTACTTCCTTCCAGCTGCAAAGAAGGAGCCCACTTCTAAGAGAAAAATCAATGACCTCCCTTGGTTGCCTGGTGAACCAGCTTTCATTTTCTAAGAGCTGAGGATAAAAATTGCACCTCCAGGCATTAAGCCTTGGAGCACACACCTGTGCACGAAACTCCTTCTGGACAAGGCCTTAGAGAACTCAGATCAGCTCCCACAGCTACCCCTCAGTGACAAAAAGGCCCCGACAAAATCACTTCCTTTCCTCCTGCCACGCTTTCCCCACCTTTAACACCAAGATCATCTTTTACCCTCCTATCTCAGAGGGAAACCATTCAGTCCTCTGCTTTAAAGTTAACCCTTTCTTATCTTCACTTTAACCAAATACCTTCACTTTATCTTGACAAAACTCATGGCCCATATAGTTTCTCGGTTCTTGTTCTCCCTAAAGGCTCATCATTGCTTAACGCGCGTAGACACTCGTGCTGGCTTGACTTCCATCAATTAAACTACTCAGCCCTGACTTTTCTCCTGCTTGTTTCACTGCTCAGTTCCATTTTCCATGCTGGTTCCTTTTCTTCATCTGGACCCCAAACCCTGGGGATCCCCAAAAGCTTTGTCTTTGACTTCTCATTCCCTTTATTTAAACTCTTGCCCTGTATCTTACCATTGCTGTAACTGTCACCTGTGACTAGAAAGCCATCAAATGCTTAACTCCAGGCCTAGGATGTCATCACCAGACACACAACTCACTGTAAAGGCATTTATTTCTGTTTGCCTGTTCCATGGTTACCCTGCATGTAACATGTCTTATAGACAACTTGTGAACACCTCCAAATGCAAATAAATCATTCCTTCCTCCTTCTTTATCCCTACTAATGACATCACCTGTCCTCTTCGAATCACAAGTAGCCAGACGAATCACCAAACCCTGCACATTTTTAGTTTATCCTGCCTCCCCCACCACCCACGAGAATCCATCCTCTTCCTTCCCATGCTATCTCCTTAGGCCACACCATTATCATCTCACATCCCTCCGTGCTATTGCAACTGCCATTTGAAATCATTCCCAGCCTCCAACCATCTTTCTATCAGATAAATCTTAAAACCCTCTTCTTTTACACAGAAGGCCTAATGAAGAAAGAACCTCTGGATTAAACAGATATGCTGGTGCTGCTGGTGGTAGTGGTGAACAGCATCTTCAAGGAAGAGAAGGATGTGGTCTGAGTCCTAAGGCCTACAGCTTGGAAGATAAAAAGCACAAGACAATCACTGGGACCACGAACCAGCCCGCGTAGAGCAGATCTCACCTCCCTGTCCCACAATAGCCCTTTCCTATTTCAACTCTCCCGTACTTCAGAACCCTCCTCCTTTGTCCTTCTCCCTCATGGAGTCTTTCTCCAACACTTTAGTGCTTTCTCTGAAATCCTTCAGCATTTATTTCCTTCAGATAATCAAATATTGCTCCACATACCTGGACATTTAATTCTTTCTGTTGAGTATGTTTTTGAGCACTTTCCCTCCAGTCATAGAGGAATAATTTTCTCTGTATTCTTCTAGAAAAAATGTTAGTTGGGACAGCCAAATAATAAATAATTGAAGGGTAAGAATCATGTCTCACAATGCTCTTGTAGTCCCAACATCCCAGTAAAGAACCATGCATACAGAAGGCGATTGGAGACATTTATTTGATTTATTGAACAACTACTTTGTTCTAGGCTCTATTCTAGGTAATAGAATACAATGAACAAATTAAACTAAATTCCTGCCTCCATAGGCTTGATTTTCCAGTGGGGCAGGAGAAATGGAATGAAAGAGAAATAGCTGAAATAGATAATAATATGTTGCAAAATAACACATTATTTTGTATGTTTTAATGCATATTTGTAATTATTACAAGTTATTGTAAAGTAACACCAAATAAGAAAAGAATGAACACAAAAGTAGTTAATTCTATGATATATTAGAAATTGATAAAGCAGTAGAGAAACATGAAGCATGGCAGGGAGACAGAGAATACAAGTTGCAGAGTGAGGAGCAATTATAAATTAGGTAGTTAGGGAAGGTCTCTGCAAAAGTATTAGTTTGGTGCAAAAGTCATTGCGGTTTTTGCTTTGTTGGAATTTGCTGTTTGATATTGGACTATATTCTTAAATGTGGTTATGTTATACATAACTTTAGTGGGCATTTCTTGCTTTATGTTTTTTTTTTTGCTAATGACTTATTACTTGCTGTTTATTTTATGTTTATTTTAGACTATGGAAATGATGGTAGCAAAAATCAAATTCGACCAATTTTCTTGAGTTCAAAATGTGTTGTAAAGCAGTGGAGACAACTCCCAACATCAACAACACATTTGGCCTGGCCCAGGAACTGCTAACAAATGTACAGTGCAGTGATGGTTCAAGAAGTCTTGCAAAGGAGATGAGAGCCTTGAAGATGAGGAGCAGAGTGCCAGGCCATCGGAAGTTGACAAAGACCAGTTGAGAGCAACCATCGCAGCTGATGCTCTTACAACTACACAACAAGTTCCCAAAGAACTCAACATCAATTATTCTATGGTTATTCAGCATTTAAAGCAAACTGGAAAGGTGAAAAAGCTCAATAAGTGGATGCCTCATGAGCTGACTGAAAATAAAAAAAGAAAAATCTTTGTTTTGAAGTGTTGTCTTCTCTTATTCTATGCAACAACAGTGAACCATGTCTTGATTGGATTGTGGCATGCAACGAAAAGTGGATTTCATACGACTACCAGTGACAACCAGCTCAGTGGTTGGACCAAGAAGAAGCTCCAAAGCACTTCCCAAATACAAACTTGCATTAAAAAAAGGTCACGGTCACTGTTTGGTGGTCTGCTGCTGGTCTAATTCACTACAGCTTTCTGAATCCTGGAGGAACTATTACATCTGAGAAGTATGCTCAGCAAACCTATGAGATGCACCGAAAACTGCAACACCTATAGCTGGCATTGTTGAGCTGGCATTGGTCAACAGAAAGGGCCCAATTCTCAACAATGACGCCCAATCGCACGTCGCGCAACCAACGCTTCAAATGTTGAATGAATTGGGCTACAAAGTTTTGCCTCATCTGTCATACCCTCCTGACCTCTCGCCAACTGACTACCACTTCCTCAAGCATCTCAACAACTTTTTGCAGGGAAAACGCTTCTACAGCCAGCAGGATGCAGAAAAGTATTTCCAAGAGTTCATTGAATCCCAAAGCAGATTTTTATGCTACAGTGATAAACAAACTTATATCTCATTGGCAAAAATGTGTTGATTAAAATGGTTCCTATTTTGATTAATAAAGATGTGTTTGAACCTAGTTATAATGATTTAAAATTCATGGTCTGAAACCACAGTTTCATTTGCACCAATAGCATCTGAGCCATTTCTGGAAGGAGGTGAGGGAATGAGGCATGTGGCTCTTTGGGTAAGGAACATGCTGTATAGTGGGAACAACATGTGCAAAGACCCTGAGACAGGACCAAGTCTAGAATATTCTAGAAAGTGCAAAGAAGCTACTTTAGGAACATTGGCTTTTATTCCAAATGAGATTATGAATTACTGGAGTTTTCACTGGATTAGTAAATAATTTTGATCACCCCAGCTGCTGTGAGATGAGACAATGTGGAGACAAGTGCAGAGGCAGGGGGACTAGTTAGAAGAACTAGTAATCCAATGGAAAGGTGACCACAGCTCAGACCAAGGAGGAGGTAGTAGAGAGGAGAAGGGGTCAGACTCTGGTTACATTCTGAAGGCAAAGCCAGTGGGATTTGTTGGTGGATTGATTGTGGAGTGGGAGGAAAGGGACAGAGTCAAGGATAACTCCAAGATTTCTGACCTGGGCAAGTGAAAGAACAGAATTAAGAATTGTTCTTAACTGGGTCAAAGAAGAGTGGAGCATGCACAAATTTAAGATAGAAGATTGACATATTATTTAAGGTTCTCCAGAGAGACAGAAACAATTGTGTGTGTGTGTGTGTGTGTGTGTGTGTGTGTGTGTGTGTGTGTCTACAGAGAAAGCTCTTTATTTTGAAGGAAGTGGCTTGATTATGGAGACTGGCAAGTCCAAAATCTGCAGGGTGAGCCTGCAGGCAGAGACCCTGCAAGAGGCATGCTGCAGGTCAAGTCTGAAGGCCATCTGCTGCAGAATTCCTTCTTGCTCAGGGAAGGTCGGGTTTTGTTCTCGTCAGGCCTTCAACTGATTGGATGAGGCTCTCCCACAGTAGGGGAGGGTAATCCACTTTTCTCAGTCTGCCTATTTACATGTTAATCACATTCAAAAACATTTGCAGAAATATCCAGAAAATGTTTGACCACGTATCTGGGCACTGGCCAGCCAAGTTGACACAAAATAAACCATTGCAATTGGGGATTCAGTTTTGGAAATGTTAAGTGTGAGATGAATATTGACTATAAGTGGAGACGTTAGATAGAAAGTTGGATATAAGAGTGTAGAAGGCAACAGAGTGAATCAGGCTACAGATATAAATTTGTAAATCATCAATAACTTTAAAGCCAGGCCTGGAACACACCATCAAAGGAGTGAGTGATAGAGGAGCACTCCGAGGATTGAGTGGGGCCTTTCACCACTGAGACGACTGAGAGAAGAGCAGCAGCCATCAAAGACGATGAAGAAAAAGCAACCCGTGAGATAAACAGAAGAAACACATATGATAATTACTACACTGTATAATATTGAGTGAATATACACAAATCAAATACATAATGAGTGAGTAAATAAGCAAACAGCAATAAATTAGAATTCACTCATATATTTAATAGAGAGCATCACATTTAATCATGAAAAAGAGAAGTTCATTGCAAAAAAGAAACAGTAATGGTTTTATCTGAAACACAGTGACCTAAAGGGAATTGTACACATTTAATAACTCATAAAGAGAAATATCACCTGTCCTCTAAAAAAGAAAGAAAATAAAATCAAAAAAGCTCCAGCTACTTGCCTGGAGAAGCAAGTAAAAGTAACTCATTTGAATAAACTTTATTTTCTTACTGGAATCTACTTGTTTCTTAAAGGACCTAAATGTCATTTTTCTTTCTCAGACAAATGTGTCTTTAAATCCCCATTTTCACTGCTGCCTGAGTCTTTTTGGTGATAAAGTAACTACAGTGAAACACTCTGTTCTAAATGTAACACCACCTTGCAAACTTCTCTCCTTTCTTTGGCACCAATAAAGGGTAACACAACTCTGGAAATAGGCTGTTAAGAGCAAGCTGCTGTTTTGCTCCTTCCTTTATGGGTGATAAGGAAATACCTTCTTACGTCAGTAATTTTGATAGCATAGACCAGATCTCAGCCAACATTTTCTGTAAAGGTAAATATTTTAAGTTTTATAGGCCATACAGCCTCTGCTTCAACTGCCCAACTCTGCTCTTAAAGTGTAAAAACAGCATACACAAACAAGTGAGCATGGCAGTGTTCCAATAAAACTTTATTTACAAAAGCAAGCCACAGACAAGAGTTGGGTCTGGTCCTATAGTTTGCTGACCCCTTGCATAGACCATAGACCAGTCTTTCTAATCATTAGTCACCTATTTGCCCTGGAGGAACAATTCCAACACCATAAAAACCCTTTGATATAATAAGCATCGCACAATGGAGGAGAAGCACAATAAATATTCTGTTGCTGTCATGGCTATTGTGGTTGTTTGATTTTTCTTAATGAAGAATAGCCATATTTAAATGTGATACATAAGGTAGCAGCATTGAGAAAGATTTGTGGAACTCATAAATCCCTCAACTCCCCAAGGGTTCCTCTGAGTATGCTATAGACAGGACTATCAAATAGTAAAATGGGAAATTACATTACCTGTTATGTAATATTAGAACCTCTTGTTCAATGACATGGGTGTCTCTTCTGCATATATTTTCTTGGCATTAATCTGAAAAGGCTGGGAGGAAAAAGAAATTGGATTTGAATTTGATATCCTCTTGCATTTGTCATTAAGTTTCTAGGTAAAGTCTGACTCCTCAAAAGTTTAACTCCGTTTAACTTAGTCACAGTTTAATATAACCTTCTCTTTAATAGTAGCTATAGAGGATTTCACAGGTTTCTATGTCTCTTTCAAGATGAAGATTCAAAGAAAGATTTTCTGTGTATGGTAGTTTTGATATAAAGAACCCATTAGCAAACTTGAAATGTGTAAATTACATGGAAGGCTCTAAGATGTGCCTTAAGTTGTAAGGGCAGACCACCTTCTCTCAGGAGGTTAATGGAGAGAGGAGGTGCTTGTTTCAACAAAGAGCTGAAAATAATACCCTGAAATTCACCTTTATAATCAAAAGATGGACTGCTTTTAATTGCAGATGAGTGGCTAGAAAACACTTTTATTCTTCCTTTACGGCATTTTCCTTGGCAAACAGAATTAAAAGGCAGCCCCGAATATATCCGGCATAATATTCCTCAGTGCTCACTAACTCATCTGCTTCAATTCAGGATGGATATGGTAACAATCATTTTCATAATGCCTGTGGGTGCTTTATTAATATTTTATAATAAAATTATATCATCTTATACAAACTTCACTCTATAATACGTTAAAAATGGGATCAGAGACTTGCAAATGAAATGAAAGCAATGGTAAAATTTAAAACATTTTGGACTGCAGTTTTTCTGTTTCTTTTCTCCATTAAACAATTTTTGAGTCCCACCTTTACCAATGCTGTAGACATGATTATCTTGAAATCTCCACTATCTAGTTTATTAATACTCATCAGTGCTCTATATTCATCTCAGCTAAACATTTTTTTCCTAGGGAGCACAATGTACAGCTATTTTTATTTTGTCAGAGCCGTTCCACTAAATTATAAAATATAATGTATGTAATAAATTTTGTTTGTTGTTACAAAATCAACACATGAAATTTACAAGGTTATTTCTCATTTTAAGGTAAAAAGGAAAGACAAAAGAGGTGCTCTTATTGGTTAAAGCACCCAGGGCTTTCATATGTGCATCTCATTTAATCCTCAACCAGTTGAGGTAGATGCTATTATCCCGTTTTACAGAAGGGAACAGCTGGGTTTCAGAAAGACTAACTCGCCCACAGTTACACCTTTTGTAAGTGGAGGACTGAGCCCACATTTCTTTGATTTCAAATGATGTGGGATAAGTTAGGTAAATAAGGTAAATTTTTTTTAACAAATTAAGTTTGATACCATTAAACTATAAGGAACAAGTCTTTGAGATTTTAAAAGGAAAGTACATACACACAAGGAATCTTTACATAGACATAACCATTTGACCAAAACATAGAATCCTCCCTAAGCGTCTTCCTGTATGTCTCAAGGTCAATCAGGTAGAAAGGTACATTTCTCTCTTTTCTTGAGGAGGTTGAAGTGTTGATTACCTACTGCCCCATGGCTGAATTAGGAGGAAAGTTGAAAGATGCACTTTTTAGCAAGGGCCTGAGACTCTAGAACTGTCCAACTTACCTCCTAATTTCCCACTGAAATTTGGCATTAAGGAGATGTTGACCTTGGCAATAATGTCATATTCTCCAACTCAATAGCTGTAGCCCCACAGAAAAAGACAGTGGTTGTTACTGTTCTAATCAGCATGGAATTTATTAACCTTAATTAAGACTTCAAGTGTAGTTTGCAACCTTTAGAAATGATTAGGCCTTCATTGAGCAAGCAGCCATAGTGATGAGTTGTGCTACCGTTTGTCTTCTCCAAAGCTACACGCAACGTACAATACACAATAATTTTCCCACTAGCTGACTTGTATTGGGAACTCGCCATAAACTAGGTGCTGGGCTAAGGTTTTCCATGCAGCACCCCATGAAATCTCACCACAGCCTATTACCATCCCAGTTTACAGATGGGGAACCTGAGGCCAAGAGAGTCTGTAAAACCCTATCTAGACCACCTAACCAGGAAGTCATTGATCAGGATTTGAACTTGGGTCTCTCTGTCTCCTGCTCTCATAACACTCATATTTTCCTTTGGGTGATAATGAGGTTGAGGGGACACTTACTCCCCACACCTCATGTTTTATTTTATAGAAAGGGACCGTCTGCTAAAGTAACCCTCTCCCTGTCCTTTATTTCTGAGAAAAGATTAATGGTGCATCTAATTCGAGTTAAGGAGAAGGCTCTGGGCCTGCTGGCTCAGTTCATTCCACTTGGGGACCCAGTGATCTGCAGAAACAACTCTTTTCTGCTTCCATGCTTGGCAGGAGGCGCAAGTTATTTCAGCACTGCAGGTACCTGAGCAGGTGAGCTCAAATCAGTTAGCAGAATTGGCCAATGTTCTCCCACCTCCCTTTCTATCAATCATGAAAGAGACATTTGAACCTCCATCTGCACTGGGACCTTGTCTAGTACCTTCCACGTGAGACTGAAGCACAATGGCTTATTGATCAAGCCTCTTTTAAATTGAAACCGCTGGGAGTTTGTAATTTACACAATGAAGCTGTAGGTCTCCTCCATTTCTGTGACTCTCACCGGATTTCAGTGCCCACAAAGGGCAAAAATCCAAAAACCTTCCCAGATACACTTTTTCTAAGTTTCTAACTTTCATATCTGCATCTTTTATATTTTAATGGCTAGCATTATTTTTTCCCAAATAAGATTTGCCCTTGTGGTTTTGTTGTTTTGTTTTAGATTAGATTAATAAACCATGAAGAATTCAACTGAAAATAAGATTTTTTTCAGAATTCATTTCAGGGAGTATATGCCTTTTAAAAAGTCATTTCTAAATCATAACACATGAAAAGTGCCAGGCTACTTATAAAAAGAAAGTAGTTCTCTCATGTGCTCTCTCTCTCTCTGTCACACACACACACACACACACACACACACACTCATACTCACTCATTCCTACCTGCCTAAGATGATTTATGTAGGGAGTATCCCTAGTGGCACGAGGGAGAAAAGCCCCACTCTGTAGCATTTGTCAGTTTCTGTGGTGTAAGTTCTCCCATCACGGCTGATTTTGAGTTAACATGATGTCACTGAACACCAGTTGGAGAAGAGACAGGCGCAGTCACCTCTCACAAGCCAGTGTAAGCTGGCTGTATCACGCCATTGGGCCAGACCCTGTCCTATGACGATAGGTAGCCAAATGGTATCTTAGTATCCCTAGTTCCATTAACAAGGCAAACACTATTCTTTTTATAAAGCTCAACTGATTGCAGCTGTCCCCAAAACTATAGTTCCCCAGAAACTGTAGTTTCGGGGACAACCCACTACTTTGATATAAAATAAATTGAAATATGTTTTTTTCCTCCTGCATCCTTCAGAGACTTTGCAACAATGAAGTCATAAGCCTTGGCTTTATGGAATTCAACTTAAACTTCTCCCTTGAGGCTGTCTCTTTTTATCAGCAAGAGATGCCTTTATCTCTTTCTATATCCAAGATTCCCCTGAGGAAACCACTAAACTGTGTTATTTAATATCTTTGGGACTTTTCTGCATAGTTCTCTAACTCATGAGGTAAAAGCCTTTAAGAAAAGTTATCTAGGCATGATACAAGTTTGAGAAAAAACATTTCCCATTCATGGCTCCCCCTATAGTTTGCAGTACTCATTGGAATCAAGAGAGATTACTGCTCTTTGAGATTAGTTGATTACATTATACCCTTAGGCTGAATTTTTTTTCCTGACTAGAGGCAATAATCAATCTTCTATTGATATTTAGGAAATCTGGGTAATGTTTCTGATTTTACCACTAACTGACTGTGTGGTCTTGGGCAAGTTGCTGAACTGCTCTAGGTTTCAATTATACTAAAGAGTAAAGAGTGAGGATAGACAGTAATACTGATGGTTATTATTTTTGAGTCCTTAATATGTGCCAAGTAATGGGTGATATACTTTATTCCACTAACTCAGGTAATTATCACCATAACCCAAAAATGTAGATACTATTTATTAGTCTCATTTTTTACACAGGAAAACTGAGGCTTAGAGTATAAGTAACATTCTTTAGGCCACATAGTAGTATTCAACAGAGACGGGACTTGAAACCAGACCGTCTTGACTCAAAGCACATTTCTTCAATCATTGTTCTCTCCTGCCTTCCCATATAGTTACCCAAAGAAGTCCCATCTGTGTCTCAAATTCCATTGCAATGGAGTGTTTCTAGAAATTGATAGGATGTAAGAACATTGGTACTTGTATACACAAAGAGCTAGAATTGACACATCTGATTTTGAAAATGAATAGTGTGAACATTTGAAGTCAGGGAACTTTACTTAGTGTCTCTCTGCATTTAAGCTTTCCTACTTAGGAAATAAAAACATCACCAGATGCTGGGTCTATGCAGGGCAGATATTTTGGAAAGATATTTTCTTAGTTATGCGATACCGTCTACAAATTCCAGCTTAAAAAAAATAGCTCTTCCATTCGCCATGTTAGGTATGTATAAAACCATTGAAAACTCACAACACTCATTTTATAGACAAATGAAGGAAGGGTAAAGATTTTAAGTTGCTCTAAGCCACAGAACCCCATTTTTAGCCATGGTACACTGTACCACATCATCCAACAGAGTTACTTACATGTATAAAAGTTTGGGCATTCTTTTACAATTTTGTAAAAACAAATAAATATGCTGTAGAAAGAGGCAACCTCGCAGAATGGACTGCAAGTCAGAAATTTCAATTCTGTCTCTTGGTTTTCTCACCGATTTACTGTATGATCTGGGAAAGGTCATCTACTTCACAGGTCTCAGCCTCATATCCACAAAGTAACTGGCCTCTGAAATATATTCTGACTTTAAATTTGTCTCTACTCTGGGATTTAGTTTCTCACTGGGACAGCCCAATCCCCTTAAAAGACAGATTATCAAAGCATAAAAATTACATGACCTATGATATTTATTTTGCTAAGATTTTTCACAAAACCCCATCATCATCAGAGATAAGGTAACTCCTGGAGAGACATCACACTCTTTGCAGGTTTGGAATGCCCAGTTCCCATCCTTGCTCCATCCCAAACTGCAGGAGACACAAAGGGAGGAGGCAGGAAATTTCTGCAAAAACCCCATGAAGGGATAATAGACCACTTGTACTTCTGCTTAATGTTCTCCACAGGACACAGTCAAACAACGGGAATCAGTCACAGAAGTCATCACTTTGATTTGTTTCCTAAACTAATGTATTCTGCAAACCATAATTTCTCTTTTTAATTCCACAGAGCATACTATTTAATGTACATAAACAGTATACATTCAAAGACCCTAATGCACACATCACATTGTTGTGTTTCTACATCAGCATCTTCACGTGACCCTCCAGAAGTGTTGTTCAACTGCTTGTGGCAGACATAAGTTATATGGATGACAAATAGGAACAAGAAATTTTGGATGAATGAACAAATTAAGAAAGAAACAGATTAAGGGAAATAGAGCTGCAAATCAAAATGCTGAACACTCAAATAATATCTCTATCTTTTAAATGACAGTATTAGTATCATCGTTATTTTAGAACTAGGAGCGATCACACATCATGGGAGTTAATGGCTTGTGACAAGAAGGGAATTGCTCAGAAGTTATGTGAACTGACCCCAAACACAGGTTAGCTAGATATGACACTTAGAATGTACAATATGAATGGTGGTCTATCAGGTTCTGTGTAATACACACTCTTTATTCTTGGTATTTGCATTCTTCTGAGAACATTTTTTGGGAAATGTCCCTAGGGACGAGAGTACCCATGACCCTATACATTAGGGGGAAATCTGCAGGTGACGATGCAGAGTGACGTTGCTAATAAAGGTATGTAAATGTAGGAAATATCAACATATCCCTGTTATCATTGATTTCTGTAATATGGCTTTTTACACAAAATCACATTACAGTCTTTTTCACAATAATCAAAGCTGAGAACTCAAAACCAAATGTGTGAGGTTTTCTGTTGAAGAGGTCACTATGAGTATCAATTTTCTTACTTGCTTGGGATATTTACCCGATTTTAAATATATAAGAAAAAAATGGAAATTGATGATGTCAGCCATCCCTTATAGACACATCAACATGAACGAGCATCCACACGTGAAAATACTTTCACAAGGGCTTAATAATTCAGAAGAGAAATTACGGCACTTGAGTGTAAAACAGAAATAAGAAAAAGTAGATTGAACATGGTAGGAGGGACAGTTTCACATTACCCATGTCATCTTTTTCCCAAACTAAAATGCAGAGAGAGGTACCATTCACATGGAAGGACGAGGATCAACTGAGTACCCAAATTCACCATGCACCAAAGTATCAGGCCTTCTCCATTGAATCCTGGCACCAGGCTAGGCCCCATGGCCCTAGGCTCCAGGCTTGGCCTCATGGCCTCGGGCACCAAGCCAGCACCTGCAGATTCAGGCTCCAGACTCTTTCACCCACTGACCCAGATACCAGATCAGCCCATGTGAGGACTCCAATGGCAAGTCTACCTGCAGACACTGGCAGCCAGCCTGTCCAAAATCCCTGGACAGGCTAGCTGGTATAAGGCTTTCTCTGCTGAAGCTGGGCTCTAACAACTGGAAGAGGTACCTACTTTTTCAAAAGTTCAGATACTTCTTCAAAATTACAAGGATCATGAATAATCAGGGATCCATGGTACCAGCAAAAAAAACAAAAACAAAAACAAAATAAAGCATCAGTAGCTGATCCTAAATAAATTAAGATCTATTAATGGTCTGACAAAGAATTCAAAATAACCAACTTAAAGAAACTCAGTGAGCTATAAGAAAACAACTAAGCAAAATCAGGAAAACAATACATGAACAAAATTAGTACGTTAACAAGCAGATACCATAAAAAAGAACCAAAAAGAAATTCTGGAAACAGAGAATACAAAGACTGAGCTGAAAAATTCCATACAGAATTTCAACAGCAGACTCAATCAAGCAGAAAAAACAATTGGTGAGTTCAAAGACAATTCATTTGCAGTTGCCTGGTCAGGGAAACAAAAAGTAAAAAAGATGAAAAAAACAAAGCCTATAAGTCTTGTGGAACATCATCAAGTGAGCCAGTATATACATAATGGGAATCCTACAAGGAGCAGAGGAAGAGAAAGGGAAATAAAGCTTATAGAAATAATGACAGAAAACTACTCAAACGTGGAGACGGAAACAAAAATCAGATCGATGAAACACAAAGAAAACCTTTTTACATTGCATTAGTCCATTTTCATACTGCTATGAAGAAATATCTAAGACTAGGTAATTTATAAGGAAAAAGGGTTTAAGGGACTCACAGTTCCATATGGCGGGGAAGGCCTCACAATCATGACAGAAGGCAAAGGAAAAGCAAAGTCACATCTTACATGGTGGCAGGCAAGAGAGCACGTGCAGGGGAACTGCCATTTATAAAACCAGCAGAACTTGTGAGACTTATACACTATTGTTAGAACAGCATGGGAAAAACCAGTCCCCATGATTCAATTACCTCCCACCAGGTCCCTCCCACAATACACGAGGTTTATGGAAGCTACAATTGAAGATGAGATTTGGGTGGGGATACAACCAAACCGTACCAAACATCAAATGTGAAAAGATCTTCACCAAGATGAATTATAATCAAGATCTCAAAAGTAAAAGACAAATAATTTTTAAAACAGCAAGAGAAAAGTGGCTTTTCATATACAAGTGAACCATTATAAGACTATCAGCATATTTCTTAGCACAAATCTTGCAGGCCAGGAAAAAGTGGCATGATAAAGTGCTGAAAGATAAAACTGCCAGCCAAAGACACTATATCAAGAAATGCTGCCCTTCGGAAATAAAAAAGATAAAGACTATCCCAGAAAAACAAAAGCTAAGAGAGTTTATTACCACTACACCTGCCTTATGAAAATGCTAAAGGGAATTCTTCAAGTTGAAACAACAGGACACTAACAAACAATGTGAAAATAAAACCCACTGTAAAAATAAGAATATAGTCAAATTCAGAATATTCTAATACTATAATTGTGGTGCACAAATCACTTTTAACTCTAGCAAAAAAAAGTCTGAAAAATAACTAGAGCTGCAGTAATTTGTTAATAAATACAAATTACAAAAAGATGTAAATTGAGACATTAATAATATAAAATGTGGAGGAAGAAGAAATTAAAGGTAGAATTTTTATGTAAATTTATCCTCTTAAAGTAGTATATATATATATATATATGCATATATATAGTTGTTGTTGTTGTTGTTTTTGAGACAGAGTCTCACTCTGTCACCCAGGCTGGAGCGCAATGGCGTGATCTCGGTTCACTGCAGCCTCCACCTCCCAGGTTCAAGCAATTCTCCTGTCTCAGCCTCCTGAGTAGCTGGGACTACAGGCGCATGCCACCATGCCCAGCTAATTTTTGTGTTTTTAGTAGAGACGGGGTTTCACCATGTTGGCCAGGGTGGTCTTGATCTCCTGACCTCGTGATCCACCTGCCTTGGCCTCCCAAACTGCTGGGACTACAGGCGTGAGCCACTGCAGTCAGCCAAAGTAGAATGTTATAACTATAGACTGTTTTCTGTTAAATAAGCCTCATTATAACCACTAAGAAAAAGTCTCTAGTAGATACTCAAAAGAGAGAGAGAAAGGAATCAAAACATATCACTACAAAAATAATCAAATCACAAAGGAAGCTGGCAAGAGAGAAAGAAAGAAACAAAGGAACTAAAAAATAGTCAGAAGAACAGTAAGTTCTAAGCTAGCAATAATTACTTTAAACATAAGTTAATTATTCAATCAAAAGACATAAAATGGCTAAATGAATTTAAAAAAAACATAATTCAACTACATGCTACCTACAAGAGACTCACTTTAGATTTAAAGGGCTACATAAGCTGAAAGATAAGGGACAAAAGAAAAGATACCCCATGCAAATGTTAACAAAAAGAAAGCAAAAGTAGCTGTATGTATATCAGACAAAATAAAACAAGATAAAAAAAAAACAAGAGACAAGGAAGATAATTATATAATGATAAAATGACAATCCATCAAGAGGATATAATAACTGTGAATACATATGCAGAGAGCACTGAAGCACCTAAATACATACATCAAATATTAACAGAACTGAAAGGACAAATAGACAACAATACAATAATAGTAGGGGACTTCAATACCCCACTTTCAACGATGTATGGATCATCCAGACAGAAAATGAATAAAGAAACAGCAGACTTGGCTGGGTGTAGTGGCTCATGCCTATAATCCCAGCACTTTAGGAGACTGAGGCAGGTGGATCACCTGAGGTCGGGAGTTCAAGACCAGTCTAACCAACATGGAGAAACCCCGTCTCTACTAAAAACACAAAAATTAGCCAGGCTTGGTTGTGCATGCCTGTAACCCTACATACTCGGGAGGCTGAGGCAGGAGAAGGGCTTGAACCCGGGAGGCGGAGGTTGTGGTGAGCTGAGATCGTGCCATTGCACTCCAGCCTAGGCAACAAGAGTGAAACTCCAAAAAAAAAAAAAAGAAAAAGAAAAAGAAAGAAAAAGAAACAGCAGACTTGAACAACAATATAGACCAAATGGACCTAACAGACATACGGACCATTCCAACCAGCAGCAGCAGACTACACGTTCTTTTCAAGTACCCAGGGAACATACTCTAGGATAGATCATGTAGATCATATGTTAAGCCACAAAACTAGTCCTAACAAATTTAAAAAGAATGAAATTACAATAAGTATCCTTTTTCCAACCACAGGTATATGAAACCAGAAATCAATAACAGAGGAAAATTGGAAAATTCAAAAACATGTATAAATTAAAAAACACACTTCTGAACAATCAGTAGGCCAAAGAATAAATCAAAAAATAAATTTCAGAAGTCTTGAGACAAATAAAAATGGAAACACAACATTCCAAAACTTACGAGATACAGCAAAAAAAAATTCTAAGTAGAAAATTTATAGTGAGAAAGCCTGTATTAAGAAAAAAGAGACAACATAGAACACACAAAGGTATAAAACTTATAAGTCTTGTAAACAATTACACAAAAGGGGAAGAAAAAGAACTCAAATGTCAATACAACATAACTCCAAGAAGCCACAAAGAGAAAAAAGAAAAAAAGAATCCACAAAACAACTAGAAAACAACTGACATTATGACAGGAATAAAACATCACGTATCAATATTTACCTTAAATGTAAATGAATTAAATGCTCTACTTGAAAGATATAAATGCTGGATGGGTTTTTTAAAACATGAACTAACTATATGTGCTCACAAGAAACTCACCCTACTGGTAAAGACACACAGACTGAAGGTAAAGGGTTAAATTTCATGGAAACGGAAACCAAAAGTGAGCAGGAGTACCTATACCTATATGAGATAAAACAAATATTAAATCAAAAATGGTAAATCTTGCATTTCTAAGGAGCATGAACTCTGATTTTGCCCATCCCAAGCAGCAAATTCACCCAACGTCAGGCCCAGCGTAGCCCTGACCATCAATTGTGTTTCTATACATTGACAATAAACTATCTGAAAAAGAAATTAAGGATACAACTCTGTGTAAAAGAATGCTAAAAACACGAATTTAACAAAGAGGTGAAAAATCTATACACTGAAAACTATAAAACATTGATGAAAGAAATTGAAGAAGACAACAAATGAATGGAAAAATATCCCATGTTCATGGACTGGAAGAATTATCATTAAAATATCCATACTACCCAAAGCTATCTACAGATTTAATGCAATCCCTATCAAAATTCCAATGGCTTTTTCATATAAAAAGAAAAAAAACAATTCTAAAGTTTATATGGAACCATAAAAGACCCTGAATAGACAAAGCAATCTTGAGCAAGAAGAATAAAGCTGGAGGCATCACATAATCTGATTTCAAATTATATTACAAAGCTATAATAATAAAAAGGGTAGAGTACTTTTATAAAAACAGACATATAGACCAATGGAGATGAATAGAAAGCCTCCAAATGAATCCACACATTTATGGTTGACTGATCTTCTACAAAGTTGCCAAGAACACAAGAACACACAATAGGCAAAGAATAAATAGTGTTGATAAAACTGGATATCCACATGCAGAAGAATAAAACTTAATCTTTATCTCACTTTATATTCAAAATCCAACTCAATATGAATTAAAGACTTCACTGTAAGACCTGAAACTAAACAGATAGCAGAAAACATAGGGGAAAGACTTCTTGACATTGGTTTGTAAATAAGCTTTTGGCTATAACCTCAAAAACCAAACAGGCAAAAATTGGCAAATTGAATTTGATATGGTTCAGATATTTTTTCACTCCAAATTTCATGTTGACATATAATCCTCAATGTTGGAGGTGAGGCCTACTGAGAGGTGTTTGGGCCATGGAAGCCGATCCCTCATGAATAGCTTGGTGCTGTACTCATGATAACAAGTGAGTTCAGGCTCTGAGTTCACACAAGTTCTGGTGTTTTAAAGTGTGTGGCACCCCTCCCTTGTTACCACCCTCACCATGTGACATACCTGTTCCCCCTTGCTCTCTGCCATGATTGGAAGCTTTTTGAGGTCTCCCTAGAAACCGAGCAGATGTTAATGCCATGCTTGTACAGCCTACACAACCATGGGCCAATTAAACCACTTTTCCTTATAAATTATGGAGCCTCAGGTATTTCTTTATAGCAAGGCAAAAACCACCTAATACAGATTTGTATCAAACTAAAATCTTTCTGCACAGCCAAGGAAACAATCAATAGAATGAAAAGTCAAACTATGGTATGGGAGAAGATATTTGTATACCATTTATCTAATAAGGGTTAATATTCAAATATATAAAATACTCAAACAACTCAATAGTGAAAAAACAAATAACGCAACCTAAAAATAGACAAAAGACCTGGGCCAGGCATGGTGGCTCACACCTGTAATCCCAGCACTTTGGGAGGCTGAGGTGGGCAGATCATGAGGTCAGGGGTTCGAGACCAGCCTGACCAACATGGTGAAACCCCGTCTCTACTAAAAAAATAATAAAAAATAAAAAATAAAAAAATTAGCCAGACATCGTGGCATGTGCCTGTAATCCCAGCTACTCAGGAGGCTAAGGCAGGAGAATTGCATGAACCCATGAGGTGGAGGGTGCAGTGAGCCAAGATTGCGGAGCGAGACTTCATCTCAAAATAATAATAATAATAATAATAATAATAATAATACCTAATAGACATTTCTCCAAGGAAGACATACAAATGCATGTAAAGGAAAAGATGTTCAACATCACTAATCACTAGAGAAATACAAATCAAAACCATAAGATATTACCTCACGTGTTAGAACGGCTATTATCAACAGGACAAAAAATTACAAGTATTAGTAAAGATATAGAGTATCTTTGTACACTGTTATTTGGAATGTAAATTTGTACAGTAAGTATGGAAAACAGTGTAAAGTTCTGTCAAAAAAAAAAAGATAAATAGAACTATCTATGATCCAGCAATCCCACTTTGAGGTATATATCCAAAGAAAATAAGTATGTCAAAGAAATATCTGCACTCCCATATTTACTACAGCATTACTCACAATAGCCAAGACATGGCATATATCTGAGTGTCCTGTGATTTTCCTTTGGCCTAAAACAAAGTTCTTTCTATTGCAATGGGTGAATGGAAAAAAAAATATGGTATATATACAATGCAATATTATTCTACCTTTAGAAAGAAGGAAATCCTGTCATTTGCTACAACATAGATTAAACAAAGTGGACATTAAGTTAAATGAAAGACAAATACTGCATGATCTCACTTAGATGTGGACTCTAAAATAGTGAAACTCATAGAAGCAGAGTGTAGAATGGGGATTTCCAGGAATGGGGATGGGGAAGTAGGGAAATGCTGGTCAAAGGGTACAGTGTTTCAGGGTACAGGGTACAAAGTTATGCAGGATAAATAGGTTTTGTAGATCTAATGTACAGCATGGCGACCATAGTTAATAATTCTGTGCCGCAATTCACAATTGCAAAGATGTGAAACCAACCTAAGTCCCCAACAACCAGTGAGTGAATAAACAAAATGTAATACATATATATCATGGAATAGTAGCCACAAAAAAGAACTAAATAACGTCTTTTGCGGCAACTTGGATGGAGCTGGAGGACATTATTCTAAGTGAAGTAACACAGGAGTGGAAAACCAAAAACTCTATGTTCTCACTTATAAGTGAGAGCTAAGCTGTGGGTATGCAAAGGCATACAGAGTGATATCACGGA
The DNA here is from genome assembly GCF_000001405.40 of Homo sapiens. NCBI lineage: Eukaryota > Metazoa > Chordata > Mammalia > Primates > Hominidae > Homo > Homo sapiens. Next base: position 7,025,897 of record NC_000010.11, read on the forward strand.
CTCTAGAGACTCAAAATGGGGAGAATGGGTGGGGAGCTATGAATAAAAAACTATACTTGGCCGGACACAGTGGCTCATGCCCGTAATCTCAGCACTTTGGGAGGCCGAGGTGGTCAGATCACCTGAGGTCAGGAGTTCAAACTAGCCTGGCCAACAGTGAAACCCCGTCTCTACTAAAAATACAAAAATTAGCGGGATATGGTGGGGGGGCGCCTGTTGTCCCAGCTACTCAGGAGGCTGAGGCAGGAGAATAGCTTGAACCCAGGAGGTGGAGGTTGCAGTGAGCTGATATCGCGCCATTGTACTCTAGCCTGGGTGACAGAGGAAGACTCCAGTTCAAAAAAAAAAAAAAAGAAAAGAAAAAAGAAAAACACTAAACTTCAGGTACAATGTACACTACTCCAGTGATGGGTGCCCTAAAATCCCAGAATTCACCACTATATAATTCATCCATGTAACAAAAAAAACACTTGTACCCCAAAAGCTACTGAAACAAAAATTTTAAAAAATACAAAAACATACTGTGCTGTATCCCTGAAATTTGCTAAGAAAGCAGATCCCAAATGTTCTCACCAGAAAAAAATACAGTAACTATGTGAGGTAATAGATACGTTAATTAGCTTTATTAGGATAATCATTTTATAATGTATATGTATATTAAAATGTCATGTTGTACACCTTACATATATACAATTTTACTTGTCAATTACGCCTTTTAAAAAGCTGGGAGAAGAAGACTAATTCACCTTAGGAATAAAAATCAAAAGAGAAACACATATTGTGAATGTTGTCATTGTTCTTCCTCACCATGAACATGTATTGGACCTTAGAATCCTCCCTGAATTCACATGCTTTAATGATCATTACTTTGTAGGTAATGGGTAGAAGGAAAGAATACATTTCATTGTCACAACCAGGTATGGGTATGGCAAATTCTTTCCCTGCCTTCCTATGGAACACAGTCATTTTCAACTCTGTTCAATAGCTAATGATCGTAACAGGATAGAATATTTATGTCAGGGAATGAGCTAAGCATTTGGCATATATTTACTAATTGACTCTTTAAAACACCTCCACAGAGTAGGTAATTTTTGTTTCCACTTTACAGATGAAGAAACTGAGGCACAGAGGAGTTTTGGGTCTTCTTTGGGACCACAAGACTAGCAAGTGGCAGAGCTGGAGTCTGAACCCAGGCAGCCGGGCTACTGCCTCTGCACTTGGGTGCAGCACCCGATAGTGTTAACGTGCATGATGCTGGTGTTTTTCTTTTTAGCTTTCCCAGTGACTTACTGTTGTGTATCTTGGGCCTTTTTTATCCTTTCTAGTTTTTAAAGCAACCTTAGCTTGAAAGAATTCTCTTGGGGGGAAAAAACATGTTCTGAGTGAGAAAAGTATAGAGAAGGCTGTCGGAAATCTTAAGTCCACACACAAATCCCTTTGGACTATCAAAGTGGGTTTTTTCCTCAATCAACAGGCCTTTGATCACTCACCACCAGGCAAAATTAAAACGCCAGAAAACCATGTGATATACAAACCATGTGACCAGGATTACATAACACAAGACTCTAGTATGTGGCCAAATTCATGTTAAGTTTTCCATAAGTATTTTGCAGTTTTGAGTTTGGAAAATCACACAAAATTGCTCTATGTCCTGAGTGCATTACTGACAATTCATTACTTAAATAACCAACTTCATTCCAGAGATTGAACTCCATCTAGGCTCTGCACTCTATATAATAACTTATCTTGATTTCATCTAACATACACGTCAGCATCACAGCTCAAAGAAACAGAGCTACAGGCAGAAAGGAAGAGGAATCTGAGAATCTGGAATTGACGCTTGGTAGCTAAAAATGGACAGACTAGTCATGGCAAAGGAAAGTCAGTCTTTCTGACTGTACCAATGGGAGATTTATAATTTGTGTTACTTATGGCTCTCTGAGGGTCCTTGGAGAATGGGAATATTTATTTGCCAAATGCCTGTCACTGTCACAAATAGCTAGGTTCTTTGAAAAGTGTACTCTTTCTTGTTAGGCACATTAGAACAAGCATCCAACTCCCTAAGGACATTAGATCCAAGAATTGCAGCAATGCTAAATGCCCTTGTGAATGCTTAAGATGGAAACGAGAGAAAATAATGGAATGGAGATTTGGTGCTAGAATTATGTTTGAGCTAAAGCTTAACCCCAAATCTAACTCAGTATCCCTCACTGGGCCTAGCAACATAGTTGACATGAAATAGAGAATGATAGCTTCACCCAGAGGAAAGCTATTTCCTCAGATATACTAGTAACTAATGGAATTGACTACAAAACTCATCCATTTATTTGTGAATCAGCATGCACCCCCACACACCCATTACACACACTTACGGACACTGAAACACGTTTTGTACTTTTACTGTGAAGGGGGCTTTTTGATAATTTTTTATTTCATTGCTTAAAGTTCTGGGTGGGACCTGCTAAACTGATGCAATGACTCACTAATGAGTCATAACCCATAATTTAGAAACCACTGGGAGCAAGAGAGAGAGTGGGAGAGGTGGGAGAGACAGCAGTTTATGCTGTGCAAAGTCAGATAAAGGATCATTGAGGACATGAGCTGTGTTTTGCAAAGTGGGGGATGTTCACAAGAAAGTCAAGAAGGGAAGTGTATTAGTCCATTCTCACATTGCTATAAAGAACTGCCTGAGACTAAGTAGATTATATATTAAAAAAAAGAGGTTTAATTGACTCGAAGTTCCACAGGTTGTACCAGAGGCATGGCTAGGGAGGGCTCGTGAAAGTTACAATCATGGTGGAAGGGCAAAGGGGAAGCAAGCACATATCCACATGGCGGTGAGAGAGAGAGAGTGAAAGGAAAAGTGCTACACACTTCTAAACAACCAGATCTCATGAGAACTCGCTATCACAGGGACAGCAAGGTGGAAATCTGCCTCCACAATCCAATCACCTCTCACCAGGTCCCTCCCTCCAACATTGGGAATTACAGTTCAACATGAGATTTGGGTGGAGACACAGAACCAAACCATATCAGAAGGAACTTTTCAGACCAGGGGAGTAGCATGAGGAAAGGATGGAGACACTCTGGTGTCCCCAGAGCATGTGGAGTGTGAACAAAAAGGGAGTTGAGAGCAACAGAGATGAAGCTAGGGAGAGAGAACGGGACCAGTTGTGGAAAGTCTCTGTTCCATCAGTAATGAGTTTAAAAGGATCCTCTAAGGGTATGAGTCACAAAGTGATACTTTTTGTGCTTTAGAAAATCACTCAATTGGTTCATTTCTTGTATTCGTTAATTCACCGAGGATTTGTGAACACATACAATGAGCTTTGCCCAGCACAGCAGTGTGTGGAATGGACAAGAGAGGGACACACTTCGCGTTTATGGCAGTTACTTAATCCCAAGTCCTTAGGAGCCAAGCTAGAGAGCAGCAGGAGGAATGCATCCCAGTAATGCATTGGAGCTTGAATCAAGAACACTCTTTGTGATGGGGAAATGGGAGGAGAGGCCTGAATGAGTCTGAAAGGAAGGACAGAGAGGAAGTTAACCATTGGGGGAGAAAAGGAGATGATATTGCAAAGGTGTGAAAGTGTGAAGGAGTCCGGCAGGTTAGGGAACAAAAGAAAAGTTTGGAGTGGCAGCACATGAAAGGAGGTTCAGAGTTGTGCTTGGAGAAGTGGGTTGACTTGGGGAGATTTGCTCAGGCCTCTGGACTCTGTTCTGGAGAACATGGAGGATATTGAAGCTGCAGGAGGGTGGGACAGTGATATGGTTTGGCTGTGTCCCCACCCAAATCTCATCTTAAATTGTAACTCCCACAATTCCCATGTGTTGTGGGAGGGACCTGGTAAGAGGTAACTGAATCATGGTGGCAGGTCTTTCCCTATGTTGTTCTTGTGATAGTGAATAAGTCTCACAAGATCCGGTGGTTTTAATAAAATGGGAGGTTCCCTGCACAGGCTCTCTCTCTTTGTCTGCCACTATCCATATAAGACATGCCTTACTCCTCCTTGCCTTCTGCTGTGATTGTGAGGCCTCCCCAGACATGTAGAACTGTAAGTCCATTAAACCTCTTTTTCTTCCCAGCCTCAGGCATGTCTCTTTCAGCAGTATGACAAAAGACTAATACAGAGGCACAGGGACAGCATCATTGGGTTCCTATTTCCAAATATAGAAAAATCAAAATAACTAAGAGTAGTGGATAGGAAATGGAAGAAAATTACTAAGAAATTGACATATAGAAAACCAATATTTTAGATCTAAGAGGGTTTTTACTTACTGCATTGTTGTTGCTTAAGTTATTACAGTGAGTGGCTTCATTGTGCCCCTCTTCCGGGCCCTGTGTTCCTCTAGAGTTGTTGCCAAAACCCACAGTCATGAAGCCAATTATGAAAAGCAGAGCCTGTTCATTTTGTTAGTAACTGAAATAGAAACAATTATTTACTAGTACATGTAACAGTCATTTTCAGCCACAAAAGATCATTTTAGCAAGTACATGTCTTTGGTTTACACCTCTCATTACAAGCTAGAGAAGCAATGAAGTTAAACGGAAATGGGTTAGTTTCTTAACAGTTGCTCCTCTTCTTGAAGGTAAAAGTATTTTTCAGACAGAGGCTGTATTAGTCCATTTTTACACTGCTATAAAGATACTACCTGAGACTGGGTAATCTATAAAGAAAAGAGGTTTAATTGACTCACAGTTCTGCATGACTGGGGTGGCCTCAGGAAGCCTACAATCATGGCAGAAGGGGAAGGGGAAGCAAAGCACATCTTACATGGAAGCAGGCAAGAGAGAGAGAAGGGGGATGTGCCAGACATTTATCAAACAACCAGATCTTCTGAGAACCCACTCACTATCATGAGAACAGCATGGAGGAAACCGCCCCCATGATTCAATTACCTCCCACCAGGTCCCTCCATCGATACGTGGGGATTACAATTTGGATTACAATTCAAAATGAGATTTGGATAGGGACACAGCCAAACCATATCAGAGGCTAAAATTTTACCCTGCAGATTGGAGATGGAGCCAACCTAGATAAATGTTTAGCAGACCAGCCTCCATAGGGAAAAGATTTGCCACTCTCTATTCTGGGAAGAAGCACCAAACTCCATGGCTTTAGAACTGCAGCCCACCATGGGGTGAGGAGAGACCAAGAGGCCTACCAGGCTTTCCTGGAACTAGGAAAGTAAACCCCTTGCATCGATTGTCTTCTATCCCAGCTATGGAAGGTGCCCATTACAAATCACTGACCCAGAGAATCTGATGGATGCAGGGGGGGTTTAGATAGTATGCTGCCTGCTAGACAGTGGAAGCCCGGTTAAAGGAATAAATTCAACTTCAAAAATCTTTGGGGAGCACCGCTATGCACATCGGTGCAGAATATTTTCTTCCTCTTGATGCATGAGAGAGCACATTGAGAAATTATGGACACAGGAGGAAAAAGAGCAAATGCCATGAGCCTCAGTCTCAATTCTGTCATTTACAAACAGTGACCACAGGCAATGTGCTTTGCCTCTGTGTGCCTCAGTTTACTCATCTGTGAACAGTTTGAGGTAAGAGTACCTCTAGCTTTTACATTCTGCAAGTATATGGCTGACAATCTTGAAGCCAGAAAGGGAAATTCAAGCTGATAATGTGAGATTTTCTTCAGTGCATTCCTAGAAAGTAAGAGTCGAAAATGTTTTGCTTGGGAAAAGGAAGGAAATTGCTTTCTATCACTTAAGAAGACAATTGTAGATCAACATAGTTGTGTCTCACATGTTAACTGTTATGTGACTATGAAGAGAACATGTCTTCTAGTTGGTTGATAAGAAAACTGGACTTTGGCCTGGCACAGTGGCTCTGCTTGTAACCCCAGCACTTTGGGAGACCGAGGTAGGCATATCGCTTAGGGACAAAGGTTTGAGACCAGCCTGGCGAAACCCTGTCTGTACTAAAAATACAAAAAATTAGCTGGGCATTGTGGCACATGCCTGTTATCCTAGCTACTCGGGAGGCTAAGGCACAAGAATCGCTTGAACCCAGGAGGCTGTGGAGGATGCAATGAGCCAAGATTGCACCACTGCACTCCAGCCTGGGTGACAGAACAAGACACTGTCTCAAAAAAAAAAAAAAAAAAAAAAAAAAAAACCTGGACTTCAAAGCTCCAACGTAGTGATTTTCAGGAAGAAAAAAGTACTAAATATATAATCAGGATAAAACTCACCCTAAATAGCACCCGAAAGTGTGTTTGATTTCATTAGTCATTAGAGAAATGCAAATCAAAACTACAGTGCAGTACCACCACACAGCCGCTAGGATGGCTACTATTAAAAAAAAAAGCAACAAGTATTGACAAGGATGTGAAGAAATTGGAACCCTGTGCACCATTGATAGGAAAGTAAAATGGTGCAGCCTCTGTAGAAAACGCATGGCAGCTCCTCAAACAATTCAACATAGAATTAACATGTGATCCAACAATTATTCTTCTGGGAATATGCCCTGAAGAATTGAAAGCAGCATTTCAAAGAGATAGTTGTATACCCATGTTCATAGTAGCAGCATTCACAATAGCTAAACTGTAGAAGCAACCCAAGTGTCCATCAACAGATTAATGGATTAGCAAAAATGATATGTATATAGAGTAGCATAGAATTTAGTCTGAGAAATGAATAACATTCTGACACGTGCTACAATACAGATGACCCCTGAGGACATTATGCTAAGTGAAATGAGCCAATCACAAAAAGACAAATACTGTATAATTTCATGTATATGAGATACCAAGAATAGCAAGTTCATGGAGACAGAAAGTACAACGGTGGATGTTAGGGGCTAAGGGAGGGAGAAAAGGGTGGTTGTTGTTTAATGGGTACAGAGTTTCAGTTTTTTAAGATGAGAAAGTTCTGGAGATGGATGGTGGTGATGGCTGCACACAATGTGAATGTACTTAATACCACCGAATGGTACACTTACAAATGGTTAAGACAGTAAATTTTATGTTATGCGTATTTTATTGCAGTTGTTTTAAAAGAAGACTCAGTCCAATCCAATAATTTCATAGTTTCTTTAGGTAGTATCCATAATGTTCTGATACTTCAGATAGCCACCCACTATTCTTGCTTCTTCTCCTAAAATCTAGTCTGGAAATGTGGTGGGAAGAGAGAGTCACCTATGGGAAAGAGTCAATCTCTTTCAGAATAACATCATATCCTTCCTCTGGTCTCTGAGATGGAGTCTTATTTTGACAAAGATATTGCTCTCCCTCTTACAGGATGTGGCCAGTCAGTATGACCTGATCTAAGCCTGCTACACTTAGTACTGTGGCCACATTGTACTTACTGGTACAGATCTCCGACCTGCCATATTTTGTCTGCAGCCTGTTGGCCTGGTCTTGTCATGCTACAGTGAGCCCCACAGCAAGCCTGTTGGCTCCTAACTCAGAATCCATGTGATGTAAGAACTAAGGAGACTCCAAAAAGCAAAGCCTGGGAACCTCCCTTCACCTGATTGCTGTAATAACCTGGCATACTTTGATGAGGCTGCAACTGGGTTAATGTGGGGGAACCTTGCCCTACATGTTATCATTGTTCCTGAAGGCCTAGACAGGTGATAACTGGAAATAAAGCATGAAACACTTTGTGACAAAGAGGGGAGAAATCTAACTTAATAAAGAAGATATTACAAATTGGGGATGCATCAGCGATAACAATAATCAGATTAGAAGCTACCATCTATTGAGAACCAACTATGGCAGGCACTCTACACTCACAATCTCCTCTAGTTGTCCCTCGAATCCCTCCAGATGGTTATTATTACCTCCATTTTAAACATAGTACTTTGGAAGGTACAGATTACATAGGGAAGTGGAAGAGCCTGGCTTTAAGCTTAGGTTTGTTGGACTTAAAATTCTGGGATCTGTCCATTGAGTCATGGCCAAGATCAGTCATCTATTTTTACTTAACAGTGATTAATTTTGTTAGTCATTCAACCATAGTCTTTGGCAGTGGTCTCTAAACTTTATTGACTACTCACTCATTATTTAAAATAATTTGAGTACATACTACCCAAAATGTGTGTTTTAAAATTTATGTATAGGGCATATGTGCATACATGAAATAATGTACTATATCTGTTACAGAACTTATCCAAAAATAGAAATTTTTAAACTATGAATAACAAAGAATAGAATTTTACTAACTTCTTCCTGAAACCCTAGGCATGATTATGTGAGCTCCATAAAATGGTACACACTCCACCTTGGAGTGTGGTTTATCTGAATAAATAGACATGATCATTGAACATGTTGAAAAATCCAAGTGACAGATTGATTCTCACATGATGCAGAAGTTGGACTTTTGAAAACTGAAACAAAAACATTAAATTGAACCTGTGTCCCTTCCACATACCTCAGATACAGTTTAGTCTGGCAATGTAGGCAAACGTTAAATTGAACCTGTATCCCTTCCACATACCTCAGATACAGTTTAGTCTGGTAATGTAGGCTTCCCCACCTACTGTGCCTCTCTAAAGAAAAGGACCTAATTCAGAAGAGTAGGAAGTTAAGCATTTTTCTGAAATTTAATGAAAGCATAAAGTTAACTATACCCAGTTGCATTTTACAAGGTAAGACTTTTCATTCATAAATGGTAACATAAGCCAAGAATAACTACACAGAGTGTAGCAAAAAGAAACCTGTGATCCATATATCTCATTCTGGAAGGGAAGATGATGCTAGTGCCAAGAATGGCCAAGATGGCATTTGCATAATATAATATAACTCAGGACCATCAGATAATTCACCAGAAATCAGAAGATAGAGGAAGAGACCTTCATTTCTGACCATGACTCTGCCATTGACTAGCTATGCGGTGTTTTACCTCACTTGGTTTTACTTTTTGTCTGAAAAATATAATATCTACCAAAATACTTTAAAAATCCAATGCAAAGAAAAAACAGTTCAAATGTCAGACTTGGCTACCTTAACTTAGGGATGGTGCCCGATTATTCAGTCTCCTGAAGTACCTTCACACGGTGATTACTTGATAATGTTTTGTTGGGCTGACTTTATTTAACTGAATACCAACAGTTATCAAGACTGATAGGGCGTGGATGACACTAACATGCAAGTATTGTGTGCCGGTTGTGATTGAAGCATGGAGGAGTAGCTGGCTCACAGAAGTCCCTTCTGTGGCAGGGTTGTGTGTGTAGGAAGGATGTATTACTTTGTTCTCACATTTCTAATAAAGACATACCTGAGACTACATAATTTATAAAGGGAAGAGGTTTAACTGACTCACAGTTCCACCGTGCTGGGGCGGCCTCAGGAAACTTACAATCATGATGGAAGGCACCTCTTTAGAAGGCAGCAGGAGAGAGAATGAGTGCCTAGCTAAGGGGAAACCCCTTATAAAACCATCAGATCTCATGAGAACTCATTATCATGAGAACAGGATGGGGGAAACCACACCCATGATTCAATTATCTCCACCTAGTCCCTCCTGCGGCGCGTGGGGATTATGGGAACTACAATTCAAGATGAGATTTAGGTGTGAAAACAGCCAATTCTTTCTCCCCACAGATGTGGTGGGGACAAACCGTATCAGATGTATCCAGAAAGAAGAGGAAATTAGACTGCACAAAGAGGAAAGAGAATGAAAGACACAGCTAACAAGGCTCAGACAAACTGAATGCCAACCAGAGTCAGCTCTGGCTGCTTGAGATGGCGAAACGGTCCCTCAACCACACTGTGGCTCTCTCTTGGGTCAGTCTGTGCACAGAGACCTGGGTGTGCAGGTTGGTAGACAGGGGTTCACACAAGCAGACATCGAGGCAGAAGAGGCCACTTTCTCACCCTCGTCCCATACCCCTCCTTCCCTACTCCAAGTTTGAACTGTTTTCAAACTATTTGCCTTCTAGGCAACCTTGATGTCCATTTTAATTTCTTTGCACCTTGCAAAACGTTAATGGTTTTCAAAAAGGCACAGGCCCCATTTGATTTCTCTCTGGAGCTGCTTTCCTCGGATCTGTGCTGTTGCAGCCTTCATTGCAGCCAAGTGATGCTCATTTTCATTTCCACCTCGTGGCATCTGCTTGGCCATATACTTACCCCTCATCTCGGTAAAAACTGGTTACACATGTAATCAAGATTTTGGAGCAAGACCTTTCCCATGTGTCCACAATAGTGGATTGGAGGGGCAATAATGAGAAGGAGATTAGTTGTTCTTTATTATAGCACTGAAGATAAATCAAAGATGGATACATCCGACTGCATCGGAACTATGAAAGTCTGTAAATGAAAAGTCATTAAGACTGTTACAATGAAAGCCACAAAGTGGGGAAAGATAGTTGCAATGTATGCATCTGACTAAAGGCTTGTCTCCAGAATATATGAAGTCAATCCTACAAATAAATCCATGAGAAAGCCATCCCAATCTTTAAAAGTGGGCAAAAGGCTCAAGCCACCAAAAGGCGTTTAACCAAGAAGATATCCAAGTGACCAATATGTGTATTTAAAGGGCCCTTGACATAACTCGCCATCAGAGAAATGCAAACGAAAACCGCAATGAGACACACAGTCGGAATAGCTACACTTGAAATGGCAAACAGTAAAACATTCTGGTGCAAACATGAAGCAGCTAGAGCTCTCACACAGTGCTGATGGGGGTGTAAACTGGTGCAATCAGTTTGCAAATCTGTTTGGCATTTCTAATAAAGCTGAATATACCTTATGATGTGCCTTATGATCCAGCAACTCCACTACTGGGGATAGAAATGTGCATTCGTGCCTCAAGAGGCATACATAAACATGTTGATAGAAATACTATTCACAGTAGGCCAAATCTGGAAACATCTAATGTTCATCACAGGAGAATGAGTGAATAAATTGTAGGATACTCATAAAAGGGACTAATAAGATTTTCAAAAATGCAACCAACTCAGATCCATGCAACCACTTGGAAGAATTTCACAAATATAAAGCTGGATGAAAAAATCAGACAAAGAAGCACATATTCTTTATGATTCCATGTATATGAAGTGTAAAATTAGGTAAAACTACCTGATGGTGATAAAAGTCAGGAGACTTTTAAAAATGGGATCCCATTTATATAGTGTACAAAAATAGGCCCAGCTAAGCTGTGCAGTGAGGAGTAGGGATCCTGGTTACCCTGGTAGGGGTTAGAAACAAAGAAGGAGTACAAGGACTCTCCGAAGTGCTGGTAATGTTTTGCTGGAGATTTTTAAAAATAGGAAGCAGGAAGTGGCCATGACTTGGGAGAGGATCAAGGGGAACTCTAGATGTTGTTAGTTCTCTGTTTTCTTATCTGAGCAGAAGTTATCTTGGTGTTTTTATTTTGTGAAAATTCATGGAGCTGTTTGTGGGCAATGTATGCTTTTTTCTGTATGTATGTCATATTGCAATGAAGAGTTTACTTGTTTTGAACTTCGATGGAAAGCTAATTTGATAGAGCACTTTGATAAGTACCCCAGAGTGATTGCTCTGTGATATGTAGAAACTAATCCCTGTCTTCCTAAAGAGTGACTGGAAGAAGCCATCCCATTACTGGGTATATACCCAAAGGATTATAAATCATGCTGCTATAAAGACACATGCACATGTATGTTTATTGCGGCACTATTCACAATAACAAAGACTTGGCACCAACCCAAATGTCCAACAATGATAGACTGGATTAAGAAAATGTGGCACATATACACCATGGAATACTATGCAGCCATAAAAAAGGATGAGTTCATGTCCTTGGTAGGGACATGGATGAAGCTGGAAACCATCATTCTCAGCAAACTATGGCAAGGACAAAAAACCAAACACTGCATGTTCTCACTCATAGGTGGGAATTGAACAATGAGAACACATGGACACAGGAAGGGGAACATCACACACCGGGGCCTGTTGTGGGATGGGGGAGGGGGGAGGGATAGCATTAGGAGATATACCTAATGTAAATGACGAGTTAATAGGTGCAGCACACAAACATGGCACATGTATACATATGTAACTAACCTGCACGTTGTGCACATGTACCCTAAAACTTAAAGTATAATAAAAAAAAAATAAAAAAAAGAAATCATTAGAAATTGTCAGAAATTAGATTCAAAGATGCTGAAATGTTCCATGACCTGGGAAACTTACTCTGAAAATGATCTGCAACCCTACAGAGGAAAAGGGAGGATGCCTCGGTAACACGACAGCAAAGGCAGAGATAGAGAGGCATCGGTGCAGTCAATGCCATGGGAGAATCATTAATTGATTCCATGCTGGAAAAATCACCTTCATCTTCAGTTCACACGGACAGACCTTAGGAGAGAACCATTCAAGACACCAACCCGTGCCTTTTTAGATCCTGAAAAAACTTTCTGAATATAATGAGTCCCAAAGGGCTCGTCACCTGTGTTTCCAGCACTATACTCTGTATTAGATATTATATCACCACAAGCAACTTTTCATCAGCATTCAGAGCTCAAAATACATGTGCACACCCACACGAAGAAAAAAACATTTATTATGCCCAAGTCTTTATTGTAGTCATTTCATGGGGCCCATTTCCTCTGTGAAACTTCAAATCAATTTCCTTGGGATGCCATTTAAGATGATTCATCCCCATTTTTTTTCCCATTTCTTATTAAAGACCTTAAGCTTTCTGGAACAGAAGGCCTGATTTCCTTGTGCACTCTCTGCCTCTCATTTTCCCTTTTGTTTGTTACATTTTCTTTTCGGGTTTTCTGAGAAGGACCAAAGTGTCTGAAATCTGTTGATGAATCATTTGTTCTCATTGTGTCCTTCCCCACCAAGCCACAGCACACAATACATTTCCAGAAAATCCACTTCCTTCATCCCAGCCCATGTGGCTGCATTGATTCAAAGAAACTCCCCCTCTCTGAGACTCAAGTAGGTGGCTGCAGAAAAGGAATTCTGGGTTTGGTGCCAGTGCCAAGAGGAGACTAAGGAGGGCTTCTCCTATCTCTATCATATACCTCATATTTTGATGTGAGCATCTGGAAATTACTCCACTGTATTGCACTGCAATGGAATAATCTCCAAATTATAGTAGAATAATTTCCAAATTATCATATAATAATTTTCAGGTGCCCATGCTGTCATCAATTCCTTTAAGGCATCCTTTGTATAGAAATTCTGTATTCTTCACTCTATCCAGGTCAACGAGGAATGCCTCGTGGTCTGTTTGACAAGCCTATAAAATAAGTAACACTTACATGATAGGTGTATTAGAGAAATTCTAAACAAAATGCTGGAACAAGTGGGCTTCTCCAGCATTCCTTAGCTCCCCAGTTCTCCATCCTTTTACCCTTCCTACCATCTGTCCCACTGCATGTCCTTGAGAGCTCAGGTCCCTGATAATTCCTCTGTTATGAACTGAATGTTGTGTTCCCCCTCAAAATTCACATGATGAAATCCTAACACCCCTCAATGGGATGATATTATGTGGTAGAGCCTTTGGGAGATGATTAGGTCGTGGAGGTGAAGCCTCTAAGAATAGGATTAGTGCCCTTACAAGAAGAGATGTGAGAGCTTGCCCTCACTCTCTCCCACTCCCCAGGTGAGGACACAGCAAGAAGGCAGCTGTCTGCAAACCAGGAAGAGAGCCCTCACCAGGTCAGATCTTCCAGCATCTTGATCTTGGACTTCCAGCCTCCAGAACTGTGAGAACCAAATTCCCACAGTTTGACCCCTAGTCTGTGGTATTCTGTGATAGCAGCCCAAGCAGACTAAGACATCTCCCTCTAAGGTGTTTATCATCTCAGGATTTTGGGTGCAGACAAGTTTCCTTTTACTGGTTCAATGATTGATTCATTCGTTTTACAAAGATCTATGACGTATCGGTTTTGTGCAGGTCCTAAGCTAGATGCTGGGAATACAATTGTGGGTGCTACAAACACTATCCCTGCTCATAATGTAGAGGGAGAGACAGCCCCTCTCACATCTTCATAAAGACATGTGCAACTCCAGTGATTTCAAGTGATATGAAGTAGCAGATAGATGATGCCACTAAAGCATATTTTTATCTTATTCAGCTAATGCTCACAGGGTACATACAATATACCAGGCACTGTTTCAAGCACTTTTCAAATATTAACTAATTTAATACTCCTAACAACCCTAGGAGGGAAGCATTGCATTGATGCCATTTTACAGATGACAAAACTGAGGCACAGTACATTAAGTTGTTTATAAACACACAGTTGGTGTATGGCAAAGGCAGATTTGGAGCCCATGCAATCTAGTCCTGGGGGTTATATTCTGAACCTCTTGGCTTGTTGCAAAATAATGAGGATATTTACCTAACTATGAGAATCAAAGGAAAGCTTCCCTGAGGAAGTGTGAATGGAGCTGAGACAAGAAAGAAGAGGAGATGTTAAAAGTGCATGAGGGTGCGGGTTGGAGGTGTAAGTGTCCTGAGAAAGAAAGAAGGACCGCATAACTGGGCACCTGAGTGCATTTTTAGTAGTTCAAAAGCCAAAAATCTGCCTTACCCTCTATAAACTAACTGCAGTTCTATGTGAATGTTTCTGACCTTTGAAAGAATTATTCAGAAGAGTGGGAACCTGAGAGTAGTGGCCATTACCCCTCTGCCCACCTTCTCCTTGGACTGGCTTGTGTTTGCTTTGTCTCCTTGCCAGCCTTGCTGGGTGCAAACCTCAGAAAGGATGACTTCGATGAGGGTGGCTTACATTTGGGGATTTTTTCTCCTTACAAAAGTAAACACTTATTGCAGCAGTAAGAAAACCATCTCAATAGGCCAGAATAAAAGAGTCTGAGGAATTGGTTGCAGGAAAACTGCTTATTTCACTGATGGTTCACGGCTCTTTTGGTCATTGGTAGTGTCATCATAATCCCTAACATTTTAACTCAAAAGAGGTTCTGCTCCTCAAGACGGGCTAAGTGGCACAGCGGCTGCGCTGGCACACAGCCACAGGTGGGAGGTGGCGAGACAGTGAGGTGCTCTGTATGGCGGGTGGTCCCCTGAGGGAGGTCATGCTTGTCACTCCAACTCATCCAGCCCTGATGGATGGAACTGGGGTGACAGGGTGCTGCTGCGGTGGCGCCCGGGCATCCTATCTCTGTAAGAGCAAGCAGAAGAGTTGAATAATACAAACAGGCTGTGAAAAGTCATCACGGGAGAACGTGTCTGTTACAAAGATGCTGAGCTTGCCCATGCCGCGTTCACAGAGGAGCTCCAGAGTCAGAATGCCTGGCTGGAGTCCTGGTCCTGCCAATCACGGGCCCTGGGACTGTGGAAAAGTTGTTAAACTGTTTGTGTTTCATCTGAAAACTGGAGGAGACAGCATACCTACCTCACAGGGGAGTAAAGGATTCAACGAGTTAATGTGCATGAAGCGCCCCCTCACAGTAAGCACCACGTGAATGGCGGTGACCATCATCATCATCATCAATGCACCTGATGTGAGACCTGGGGAGGGCTTTTCCCCCTCTTCCTTGAGACACCTACCCTTCCGAATCCCATTCTACAGGTCCATGCTTTTGTTCTTCCTCTCTCCTGTTTCCCCATTTTCATCCCCTGACTCCTCTCCATCCCATGCCCACCTTTTCTTCCCGAGCCGAATCCCATTGCATGTGTGAGCGCTAAAGCATCCTTTCTATGTTAAAGTCTGCAGGTGACTGTTACAACCATAGCACACCCACCTTTCTCATCAGTTGCTGTGTTCATTTTCTAGGGCCGTCCTGACAAAGTTCTGTGAATTAAGTGGCTTAAAACAATAAAAATTTTGTTTTCTCACAGTTCTGGAGGCCAGAAGTCCAAAATCAATGCGTTGGCAGGGTTGGTTCCTCCTGAGAGCTGTGAGGGAGAACCTGCCCTGTCCTCTGTCCAGCTTCAGGTGTCACTAGCCAGCCCAGGCATTTTCTAGCATTTAGTGCGTGACTCTCATCTCCATCTCTGTCTTCACTTGACATTCATTTCTGTGTCTCTTCTGTTCTTATAAGGACAGCAGCCATTGTGAGGTGGGAGGCACGGGTCAGACACTGGACCAAATTGAGGACTAGCTAAAACAGGGACCGAGTAGAAGCAGCTTTCCCTAAAACATGCCCACTGGTGTGCATGCCAGTTTACCATTGCCATGGCAACACCCGGGATTCACCACCCCTTTCCATGGCGATGACCTGATAACCCAAAAGTTACCACCTTTTTTTCTAGCAATTTCTGCATAAACTGCCCCTTAATCTAAATATAATTACAAGTAGGTATAAATATGACTGCAAAACTGCCCTGAGCTGCTGCTGTCAGCACACTGCCTGTGGGGTAGCCCTGCCCTGCAGGAGCAGTCATGGAGCTGTAACACTGCTGCCTCAGTAAAGCTGTTTTCTTCCACCTATCGCCAGCTTGCCCTTGAATTCTTTCCTGGCTGAAGCCAAGGGCCCTGATGGGTTAAGCCCCACTTTGGGGCTCGCCTGCCCTGCATCAATTGGATTAGGGTCCACCCTCCTCCACTGTGACCTCATCTTAACTAATTAGATCTGCAAAGACCCTGTTTCCAAATAAGCTCACACTCTGGTGTTCCGGGTGAACATGAATTTAGGGGCCCACTATTCAACCCAGTACAGTTGCCGGAAAGAATATTCTTTTTAGATGTGTTGACCAGACAATCACAGGTCTGGAAGGAGGTGAGAAATCCATGTGCTTTAAGAAACTGCTTCAAAGGAACCTCAGCTGAAGCTGGACTGCCTGGCCCATCTTTCCAATTTGCTTTGCATTCTGAATATGCATCTAGGACTATAAATACATTGGTGATGTGCACATTTTCTGTCTTTTTCTCTGTAAGTGGATGAAATCCCCAATCCTGGCAGAAGCTAGAGACAGAGACAGTAGACCCCTGAATAATCACCACTGTTGGGGTCCTGCCTGCTGAGGAGTGTCAAGCTCATGCCCTGTGCAACAAAAGGCCGCGGACAGAGAAGGGCAGGAGCTTCAGATGTAGAGCATTTCCCCCTCTTGGACAAATGCACAGTTAGATGCTTCGCTGCCCTACAGTGGCCTTATCTTTTGAACTCAGATACTGAGGTTCTTCCAGAGAAAATTGCATTCAGGAGAATTTTAAAGTGCGACAAAAGAAGCATAAGAAGTACAGATGATCTAATCTTAGTGGTCTTCTAGGTGAACTTCAGGGACCTTTCACAGAGGCTGCTCTGGGAGGATTTTAAGCCATCAGAGAATCCAGGAATCAGCTATGACCAGCAGATACTAGAAATACTGCAGTGGGTGCCAAGCAAGCACAGAGCTGGGCTAGAGGGAGGTGGCAGGAGGTAACCCTAGGGAGATGAAGGCCCTTCAATCGACCAGCCCTGCTCTCTAGAGTCCACACCCACTGGGCAGGGGCCAACCTTGTGTCAGAAGCCTGTGTCCAGGGGCCTGCCTGCCCTCCTTCCTGTCTTCCACTTCAAAAATTGTGATTAACACATCCCCAAATGTCTCCACAAGGCCTGTGAGTGTGCCTGTGTGTGTGCAAGTGTACATGAGTTTGTGAGTGTGTATGTGTGTGCATGTGTGTTTGAGTGTGCATGTGAATGTGCCTTTGTGTGTGCAAGTGTGCATGCATGAGCATGTGTGAGTGTGTGTGTGCGCGCATGTGTGTTTGAGTGTGCATGTGTGGGTGACTTTGTGTGGGCAAGTGTGTATGCATAAGCATGTGTGAGAGCTTGTGTGTTCATGTGTGTGTGTGTGAGTGTGTTTGTGAGTGTGCATGCAGTCAGACAGTTTAGGGCTATGCTGTCTTCTATGTCACAGCAAAGATTCTCAAGCAATAATGACACTGGTCATTTGGAAGGCTCCCAGCTGGGTCCTGCCCATTTTCATCCTAATGAAATTGTCATCCAAGCAGCTTTGGCCCAGGTGAGTGCAGAGGTCAAGGGGTGCCTGCTCAGAAGTGAAATTTCCTAAAGAGCTGGTCATCCGAAATATTTTTTTAAAAATTTAAATGCAGTATATCGGGAAGCACACAGGTTCAAAGTCAGTCCGACCTGGGTTTGGAAACCTTCTTCACCATTCATTAGCAGCATGAACGTGGACCAGCCAGTTAACCTCTCACTCTCCCAGTTTCCCTGTCTATAAAATGGCAATCACATTACCTACCTAATGGGGTTATTGTGAAAATTAACAGTGTTTGTACAAAGTACCCAGCTGAGTAACTCCACGGAGATGACTCTCCCTAAAAGGTGGCGTTATTATTTTTGGAGTTTCTGCTTTGATGTCGCCTGTGCTCTCTGGCAGAATCCGTCCGTAAGGAAGTCAGCAGCCTTGTGCACCAACAGCCAACTTCATGGCTCAGCAAGTGACCAGGCATCTGCCCGGGTCCCGGAGGGCAACCCATTGAATGCTGCCCTTGAGTCATCCCCACCAGTGTCCCCAGGCATAGGACATCACAGCCCCAGCAGGCAGAGCTCACGGGAAGCCTGCTGCTCCCAGGGCTTTGGTGTTTTTCCAGAAGAAAAAGGAGGAGGAAATGAAATGGCCTTTCCTCATTTGCTGTGCAGCCCTTTATCCAAGTGTAAATCAAACTCCTCCAACACACACCTGCACAACAGCTTGTAAACTGCAGGAGGGCGTGGAGTTTTTCTGTCTTGTTCTTCAGTATGTCCTTGGTGCCTAGGACAGTGCCTGGCATGGAATAGGGGTCTGAATAGTAATCGTGATAATGATGACAATGCTTACTGGGTAGGTACCGCTTACTATGTGACACACCCTACCCTTATCACTATGTTAATATGATCACATTGAGTAGTGCTCCCCACAGCCTATCAGGGAGGTACTGAGATTATCCTGTTTTCCAGACTAGGAAACAGGCCTAAGGAGGGGAAGGGACTTGCCCAAAGTGAGATTCCCTCTTACTTGCCTCCTGTGTGATTCACTGCTGTTGGCATCACCCCTGAAACTCCAAGCCCCTCACTTTGCCCGAGAAGAGGAGGAGAGTGGAGTGGAGAGGAATCCAGACAAGAAGACTCAAAACTGCTCCTTCTGGGTGACAGAGGGGAGAGAGACAGCCAGAGAAAGAGAGAAAAAGGGGATAATGAGAAAGAGAAAGGGAAGAAAGAACCGTGTTCAGCATCAGCAGGGAAGCGTTGCCTTGGCTCTCCACTGGCAACCACTGGATAAGGAGTGATGATGGCATCCTGACGCATGGGAGAATCCTTGGGGAACTGCCGCATGCAATCACTGAAGCAGGGGATTGTGACATTGCAATGTCTTTCCAGGGAGCTTCAGACTCCTGTCCTCCAGCCACATTTAGTGTTAAGAGCAGGGGCCCCAGTATATATCCCAGAAAGGTGACAACTTTGGCTTCAGAATAACTATAATAATTATAAACAAAATAGTTATAAAACATTAACTTTAGAGATTCCTAGAGCAAGTGGAAAAATCAGGCACCAGAATCTCACATTGAAGAGATACATGCACACAACCTGTCCAGCACAGGATGAGTGTATATCTAAAACTCATCAGAAACCTTTGAGAAATAGTCCTCTAGATTTAAAATACATTTTCCAGAATACTCTGGAGTTCATCCTTTGCCTTTGTCTGGAACATCATGGCAGGCCCCCCCGTACCCTCATTCTCACTGGAACCTCTCTTCCCACTGGTGTTCCTATCTGCATATACACTTGAGGTCACTTCCTCAGATGAAAGCAACAAGCATTTCTTCCCTCCAAAAAATACATGCAAAATTTCTCAGATACTTTCATGAAATTCATAGATCCCCTAAACTTCATTCACATATTCTTCTGTGGTTATGGACCCCCCTCCCAACAAAAAAACAATTCTATAAGTGGCCTTGTATAAATAAAATATCAGCAACAAACATAAATGAAACCTCCAAGAAGTACCTTGGGTTATTCTGCCAACGTCACACAAATCTCTTCTATAACTTGGCCTAAAGACCTCAACACCCACGTACTGACATTCTTGAGTTTGACCGTTAAAATAATCTAGTACAATCTAGTTGCTCCTTAAGGAAGAGATGTATTACTTGCTGGGGCCTCAGAAATCCCAATCCTGGTCTAAGGGAACTTTCTGTTGAATGCCGATTCCAACTGTCTATTGGAAAATGGCTCAAAGGAGCATTTGACAGAGTCAGAGCCCCTCTGAAATGCCACACAGTCTGTGCCTTCCAGAGATCCAGCCCCTGCATCCTGAGGCTAAGCCACCTACCCAAGCCGACCTTGGTTACAGTATGCACTGGACAGTCCTCTAATTCAGGAACAGGTTTTGTGGAAGCCTGTAATTCTACTCTTTTCCTAATCCCTGTAAAATTAATCCAGACATTTCCACACTTCCCTAAAGCTCTACCCACCCTCTCAAGTGTAGCTCTCTAGGGAAGCTCTTATAGCCTTTTGTTTGCTCAATAGACTTAAGCCACTTCACTATTGCTTTGCAAAACTCATCAACCGAGGGTTTGGTCATCAACTGAGGGTTTGGTCTGCAACTCGTTCTACTTGTATTTTGGTTCTTAGGTGTGAAGAGCTTTTGCAACTTGCTAGGCCTCCTGACCTTCCCTTCCTCTTTCCTGGCCTACTTTGCAACTTGTGGTGAGTCCTTCCTACCTCCCCACATGCTCTATGGTTTCCTGAAACCTTCACCACACTTCAGCTAAGCAGTCATTCTTAATTCCACTTCCCCTTATACCTCCATACTTAAATACATATACATATTATATTAAATATATAACATGAACTTGTTAACAAAAGAAAAGCAATCAACTAGTGCATTGCTCCATCTCCATTCTCTAATAATTCTCTAATTCTTGAGATCCATGCCAATCTTCACGTATCTAATGCACATGTTTGACTGCATAGAGTATGTGGTTGATTCAGTCAATAGGCAGTCTTTCTGGCTGTCTGTCCTTCACTTAAGTGTCATGTTTTTGTGCTTTGGTTTCAGAACGATGCCTCTCATGGTGCTTATCATCTGAGATGACTCTGCCAGTGGCAGAAAATAGAAGAGTTTTGGTCTACTGGTAGGTTGGTTTGTAGGTTGGCTGACTTTAGCTACTGAACCAAGAAAAATATCTTGGGGAATCTACTGATTCTGCTACACATTAGTGTTGTTCATTGTGAAGCCCCTGGCTGGGGGAGGGGTCACACAAGGAGGTGCTCATGTTTGTGGGACCCTCACACAGCGTTCCCAAATGAGGCCACCAGGGACTGATCTGTGCTGGTGTCTGCTCTCCTTGCTGTTTTCATTGGAGTCAAAAGTTGTAAAATCTTTCTCTAGTTGCTAAACTAAAATTGTGGCCATGTCCAAAACCCCATATAAACCCAGACTTGTCACTTTCCTCAGTGCTAGAATAGAAGCAAGCAAAAAAGAAAAAGAAGCAAGAAAGAAATATTATCTCCAATATCCCCAGCCACCAACTGAATTTATGTGGCAACCAGCAATAGCAATTAAAAGGGAGAAAATGACAAGAAAGCCATTTTTCTTATTTACAGCTCGAACTCTAAACCCAGTATTTCCTCTGGTTCTTGATCTACTCTTTCTAGGTGAAGTCTTTTTCTTCAAACTCAGCTGCAGAGGTTGAGGAGAATAGTCTTGGGGTTGGTTTTTGGAGCTCAATTGCTTCCTAAGACTAGTGTATTTCTACACTTGCACTTTGGAGAAAAGCAACTGCTGTTCTTTGGGCTCCTTGTACCTATTACATAACCTTGAACAAATCATTGGTTCCTACGGTCTTCCTCAATTTGTCCCTCTGAACGCTGGGTCAAATGAAATATTTCTTATTTTCAGGGGCTTCAGGGGCCACCAGAAGGATGGTGTATTAGTCTGTTTTCATACTGCTGATAAAGATATACCAGAGACTGGGAAGAAAAAGAGGTTTAATGAACTCCCAGTTCCATGTGGCTGCACAATCATGGCAGAAGGTGAAAGGCACTTCTTATATGGCAGTGGCAAGGGAGAAGAATGAGAGCGAAATAAAAGCAGAAACCCCTTAAAACCATCAGATCTTGTGAGATTTATTCACTACCACAAGAACAGTATGGGGGAAACTTCCCCCATGATTCCATTATCTCCCACTGGGTCCCTCCCACAACATGTGGGAATTATGGGAACTACAATTCAAGATGAGATTTGGGTGGGGACACAGAGCCAAACCATATCAGATGGTGAGTAAATGAAGATATAGTAGTACCATTAAATGAAGTGTATTTCCTCTCCTTCAAGACTACCAAATCAGTAATGCCATCCTGAGAAGGATTAATCTGCTCTTTATTTTACCACTCGAAGATGAAAAGAGCAAAATTAAGTACAACATTAAAATTAGAATCCTCTGTTTAGAGAAGCTTCAGTTACTTCCACGAACCAGGCCATTAAGTATACGGCACCGAGCTGCTTCCTGATGATAACAGCAGGATGAAGCCAGCAGGAGGCCGTGGGTGAAGGATGGTACTTAGGTGTCTGTTTGGGTCTGTAGTAATCTCAGATAGAGTGTATTGTAAGACAAAACATTTAATGTATTATTTCCTATGACCAAGGATGAGTTTTCCCAGCAACGATTGCATCCCTGGAAGCTGAAGTCATTGTAGTCTAAACATAAAATGGCACAAACGAATCAGCTTCTGGGCTATAAAGAAAATAGAGTAAGTTTTGTAAGCACAACAGATTGTTTGGAAAATAAAGAAAGAAACATGTGTTTCCCAGGTTTTACGAAGCCCTATAGCCTACTTACAGGGCCATTGATGTCCAGTCATGTGTCATTTAATGGCAGGAATACATTCTGAGAAATGCGTTATTAGGTGATTTTGTTATGCGAACCATAGGGTGAATTTACACAAACCTAGATGGTAGAGCCTACTGCACACTGGGGCTGTATGGCATAGCCCATTGCTCCTAGGCTACAAAAAACTACACCATGCAACTGCTCTGAAAGCTGTAGGCAATTGTAACACAATGGCAAGTATCTGTGTATCAAAACCTGTGTAAACATAGAAAATGTACAGTAAGAACATGGTATAGAAGATAAAAAGCCCAGGCATGGTGGCTCACGCCTGTAATCCCAACAATTTGGAGGCTGAGGTGGGCAGATCGCTTGAGCCCAGGGGTTCGAGACCAGCCTAGGTGGGCAACATGGTGAAACCCCGTCTCTACTAAAAAAAAAAAAACAAAAATTAGCCGGGCACGTTGGCTCACGCCTGTAATCCTGGCAACTTTGGGAGGCCAAGGTGGGCGGATCATTAGGTCAGGAGATTGAGACCATCTTGGCTAACACAGTGAAACCCCATCTCTACTAAAAATACAAAAAATGAGCCGGGCATGGTGGCAGGCATCTGTAGTCCTAGTTACTTGGGAGGCTGAGGCAGGAGAATCACTTGAACCTGGGAGGTGGAGCTTGCAGTGAGCTGAGATCACGCCACTGCACTCCAGCCTGGGCAATAGTGCGAGACTCTGTCTCAAAAAAAAAAAAAACTTACAAACATTAGCCAGGTGTGGTGGTGCATGCCTGTAGTCCCAGCTACTCAGAAGGCTTGAGGTGAGAGGATCACCTGAGCCCTGGAGGTCAAGGCTGCAGAGAGATGTAATCATGCCACTGCACTCCAGCTTGGATGACAGAGTGAGACTGTCTCAAAAAAAAAAAAAAAAAAGATAAAAAGTGATACAGTTGTATAGGGGACTTCCCATGAATGGGGCTGGCGGGAATGGAAATTGCGGAAGTTGCTTTTGATGAGCCAATGAGTGGTAAGTAAATGTGAAGGCCTAGGACATTACTGTACACTTTTATACGATTGGCAGTGCAGTAGGTTTGTTTATACCAGTATCCCCACAAACACATTGTGCTATGACATTAGGCAATAGGAATTTTTCAGCTCCATTATAGTCTTATGGGACCCCCATCGTATACACCATCCATCATTGACTGAAACATCCTGATTTGCCACATGACTGTATTAACTTTTAGTGATTGAATCCAAACCTGGGCTTTTTCAGCCTCTGTCTATTACCTTGAGCAGATAGACTTTGTTCCTAAACAATATCAGTTCTTGCAATGTTGGGAAAACTTACAAAAATATCTTTGAAAATCCTCTTAATACACATGTAGGGTGACATTCCACAGCCAGAAGGATCAGGTGAGCTGATGGACTGACACTCCAAGGACAAACTTACTCTGCAGTTTATTTTAGAACTCAGCTGGTAATATGGTTTGGCTGTGTCCCCACCCAAATCTCATCTTGAATTCCCACATGTTGTGAAAGGGACCCAGTGGGAGGTAATTGAATCAAAGGGGCAGGTATTTCCCTTGCTGTTCTCATGATAGGGAGTAAGTCTCACGAGATCTGACGGTTATCATAAGAGGGAGTTTTCCTGCACAAGCTCTCTCTGTCTCTGCTTGCTGCTATCCATGTAAGACATGACTTGCTCCTCCTTGCCTTCTACCATGATTGTGAGGCCTCTCCAGCCATGTGGAACTGTAAGTCTAGTTAAACCTCTGTCTTTTGTAAACTGCCCAGTCTCAGGTATGTCTTTACCCATAGTGTGAAAGCGGACTAATACACCTGGAATCTCAGCTTTGTTTTTTATGCTTTAAAAGAGTTATACCACCTGAACTCTCATTTGTCTAAATTAGGACAAGTTCAGCCATTTCAAAGAACACTGACCTACCACATTTCACTGAATAAGATACAAAGATTATTACCTGTATATTTAACTTTTAATCTAGGCTTTCTGGCATCAAAGTGGATTAAACCCAGTTTACTAAGGACCCACCCCACCAAAACAAATCCAGAATTCCCTAGGCAATAATAATCTTCAATAATATTGACATTTGCCTAAACAATGAGATTAACTATAAATTCCATATTTGAAAGTACATTTTGCCATTGAATTTATTTCATTCTCTTCAAATGTCTTAAGGATGTTTTCTGCACATATTTCAGGGTTTTTTTTTTTATACATTCAGAACAGAAGAACAGACAAAATTGTCACTCCGAAATAAGTTCCTGCTGTTTCATAAATATCACAGTATGAACAACTTGTCAAAAAGATATTAATAAAAATTTGAGGAATTTTTTTATGAATGCAGTTGAGTTTGACAACCTTTCATAGTGAAAATGAGTCTAAAGAAAAATGAGCTATTCTTCAACCATTATTTTTATTTGTCTTCACTTATAATTTTGGGGTGTTATAATTGGCTTCTGAATTTATTGTTCACGTCATACATAGATGAAGAGATGGATGAAAGAGGCTGAAAATATTCTACATTGTGAAAGGCTAAGAGTTTAGAACCACAGGCAAGAGACTGTGAAGTCTCAGTACTCGTATACAGGAAAAGATCTTGGATCCCCAAACTCTACTGAAGACATCTCACGAAACATAGAACCCATCGATTATCATCCTTGGCTGCATGTTAGAATAATCTGGAGAGCTTTAAAAATGCTGATGTCCAGCATTAATACCCAGACTAATTAAATCCAGTCTTCTCATTGACAAGACAGCCTGGAGTAGCCATTTGGGACAATCATGGAATCAATGCTTCAAGTCTTTCTCATCACCCATGATCTCCCATTTGTAATTGTAGTAGATTAAATAGCATTCCCCCAAAACGTATATCTACCCAGAACCCCAGAATATGACCTTATTTGGAAATATAATTAATTGAGGATGAAGACAAGCTCATACTGGATTAGGGTGGGTCCTAAATTCAATGACAAGCATCCTTGTAAGAAAAGGGGGGGACACAGAGAGACACAGACACCCACAGGAAAGAAGGCTATGTGAAAAGGGTCACAAAGATAGGGGTTATACTGTCACAAGTTGGATTAGTCAGGGTTCTCTAGAGGGGCAGAACCAATAAAATATGTGTATATATGAAAGGGAGTTTATTAGGGGAATTGGCTCACACAATAACAAGATGAAGTGCCATGATAGGCTGTCTGCAAGCTGGGGAAAGACAGAGAAGCTGGTAGTGGCTCAGTACAAGTCCAAAAGCCTTAAAACCAGAGAAGCCAACATTGCAGCCTTCAGTCTGCAGCCAAAGGCCTAAGAGCACCCCTGAAACCCACAAGTGCAAGTCCCAGAGTGCAGAGGCCAAAGAACCTGGAGTCTGAGGTCCAAGGCCAGGAGGAGCAAAAGCAAGCATCCAGCAAGGGAAGAAGGAAAAGAGCCAGAAGACTCAGCAAGCAAACGGATCCCCCTTCTGCCTGCCTTGTTCCAGCCATGCTGGTAGCAGATTGGGTGGTGCCTATCTACATAGAGAGTGGGTCTTCCTCTCCTAGTCCACCCACTCAAACATCAATCTCCTCTGGCAACACCCTCCCAGACACACCCAGAAATAACACTTCACCAGCCATCTAGGCATCCCTCAATACAATCAAGTTGACAACTACTATTAACCATCACACAAGCCTTGGAGGGCTCCGGGCCACCAGGAGCTGGAAGAGGCAAGGAAGGTGTCTTCCCTAGAGACTTTGGTGAGACATTGACCCAGCGGACACCTCGATGTCTGACTCATAGAACTGTTGAAAACTTAATGTCCACTGTGTTAAGCCACCCAGCTAAGATATTTTATTATGGCAGCCCTAGTAAGCTGATACAGCGACCTTCCCCTCATCTTTGGATTACAGAATGAACTACCAGGCAAGGCAATTTCTTAATATCATGGACATTTAAGTCTCATTGTAAATATGGGCTGGACTCCATCTGGGTACAGAACTGTTCTGAGATCTTACTTACCACCGTGAGAACACAAAATTAGAGTGGGCACTGAAGCCCTGATCCAAACCTTTCACCTCCATATTATCCTTAATACCACATCTGAAACTGTAAGCTCAAATGGCTATGCTCCAGGCTTCTTCCAACACTACTTTAGATTTTCCAGGTGGATGAAAAAGAAGAGAAAGGCTTGGTAATTGATATGAAATATGCTATGATTGTGACTACTTGATTCATACTCTTTACCACTTTGTCAATTATTAATCTAATGAAATAATAACTAATTTGCTTTTAGAAATCCCAGTAACAAATACTTAGGGTAAAGTTTGGTCTCATTTTGTCATACTAAGAGATTAAATTAAATATTAGTTGTAGAGACAGGATGCAGAAAAGCAGGACAGAGGGATTAGCGTGAAATTCCCTAAAACAGTGTTTCTCAAACCCAGTACATTTATATATAAGGGAAACAATATTTTGCAAAAAGTATTCTTACTATTTCTGATGCACTCTGATCTTTTAAACTCTTTTTTGATCTTGATATTGATGTACAAAATTCATTTCATGCCCTAAAAATGAGTCTCAACTGTGATCTTAACCCCTAATTGGGGAAATTTGATTATGGATTAGGCATAACATGATATCAAAGATGCTATCTTTGTGTTAGGTGTAATAATGGCATTGTGGTTCTCTAAGAAAATGTCCTTATCTCTTAGAGATTCAATGAGAAGAAAATCTGGATGCTCTTAGAGGCACGTTTCCTTCCTGGTCTTAGTGGCTTAATCACCCTGGCTCAGCTAGCCCGGGCCCATCCGCAGGAGGCACAGAGGCCTTAGTCTAATGTTCACATTCCTGACAAGCAAGACTGGTTCCAGGCCCTTGCAGGCAGATGTTGGCCCTCAGCATGCCTCAAGTTATTCCTAGGCCTGGAAATTCTTTGATATATTTCTTGTTATTTGAAGAAACTAGGTATGTGCACCCACCTCCCCTTATGCTCACTCATATAACCCCAGGTAACACAAAGAGGAAGCAGGGCTCTCTCTCCTGACTGCCCTGTCTCCTGAAACTTTGGCCATCCATGCCTGGCTTACAGCATGAAACTTTGAGAGGAGGGAATTTGTCAGGCACTCTGCTGCTTCTCCACTTGTAAGTTTCCCCCATTAAGGCCCATGATACATTTGCATCATTTGGCAGTAGGGACGGCTTGTGTGACAAGATACATCCTGAATACGTAAGAATGCAATGACAGGTGCCTGGGGGGATCTGTTTTAAATACTTCATTAAGGGGGAGAAAAAGGATAGATGGGGCAAACGTGATGCAACCTTGATAATGGCTGGATCTGTGTAGTGGGAATGTGGAGGTTCATGTTACTATTCTATTTTGCATATGTTTGTACATTTTCATAAGAAAGAATTTTAAAAAGACATGCACACACAATACTGCCCCAGAATGTCTCTTGCCCTGGAACTTGAACCTTATAGGATAACTTTGAGATTTTTGGAGAAAGCTGTGTATTGATCCTCAAATTATCATTTCATGGAAAAACAGAAAGAAGAAAGGAAAAATCCATCTGGTAAAACATTTCTATCCAGAAAACTTCTACAATTACTTCTGCATTTACATGGTAAGACAGAGACAATAAGGGCAGAATTTAGCCCTCTTCCTAGTCACTGTGACATTGTTTTTTATCTTTGTCTATATGGCTAATCTCTCCAACTAAATGGGAAACTGGGTAAGGGCAGGGATATTGACTAATGTCCCTTTGCCTTTTCTAGAAAAAGACAACTTGCATATTGCAGGCATTTTATCAATATTTTTAGTTGATTGAGCTACATAGACGTACTTGTAGTTATAGCTTTAAGTTTGGGCACACTTGCTTGCATTCTTCTACTTCCTTTAAAAAATGCATTTTGGGAGGCCGAGGTAGACGGATCATCTGAGGTCGGGAGTTCGAGACCAGCACAACCAATATGGAGAAACCCTGTCTCTACTAAAAATACAAAAAATTAGCTGGGCATGGTGGCACATGCCTGTCATCCTAGCTACTCAGGAGGCTGAGGCAGGAGAATTGCTTGAACTCAGGAGGCGGAGGTTACAGTGAGCTGAGATCGTGCCATTGCACTCCAGCCTGGGCAACAAGAGCGAAATTCCATCTCAAAAAAAAAAAATTACTTGTATATAGTAAAAATAAAAACCTACTGTTAGCCAGAGTTTTCAACTGGAGAGCCATCACTAAGCTTATTAGATAATAGTTTAAAATATATATTAAGCATTTACTCTGTGTCCATCCCTCTGCAAAATGCTTTATGTAAATTATCCCACTTAATCTTCATAGTAATCCTAGAACAGTTACTGTCAGAACCTTCAGATAGGGAAACTGAGGCACAGAGATTAAGACTTGTGACTTTCTTAGTGTCACAAAGCTACTTAGCAACAGAGACAGATTTTAAACCTCGGAAGAATGACTGATGCCAGAATCCTTTCTTTCAAAGGCCCTCTCTCCTGCAGTTCAGATGAGGCCCATGAGGTAGTGCTCTTGAGCACAGTATCTAAGAGGACTCGGAATCTGCTTGGCCCACGTGATCCTGAAAGCTACATTATGCACCGTCATATGCTATTAAAAATGACATAAAGGACCCACATCTATTGCGCATTGAACCTACCATGCACTATGCTAGCTGCTTTACAAACATTGTTTAATCTTCCCGTAAGGAAGAGACCTGATTAATTACTATTATACTAATTCAACATTATATCAAGATATATCAATGTAACATCAAGATATATCAAGAAATCAAATATCTGTCTAAATATGGGAAACAGGGTACAGCCTGGTGTTGGCTGATGGCTTGGTGGCTGAATTTACTCCAACATAAAGTGGGGCAAATCAAGAATGCTAACAGGCACCTTAGCATGACCAGGTGACTGTCATCAGTGAATAAATGTAGGAGGCAAACTTCTGAAACATTACTAGAGGGACAGGGAGAAGGACAGAGTCTCTGTGAAAAGTATAGAGTTTGGTAAACTGAAGATGAGTGCCGAGCAAAGAAAAAACAGGCAAGGGGGACAATCAAGTGCACGGGAGGAGAGGAGAGACAGTGATTTTGTAAGAAACAGGAGTGTAGACAAGATGGTGGCAGGAAGGAAATCCTCAATGAATTGGGAATTTGAGTGTCACTTCCATCTATTTTACATCTAAGTCACACAATAGAATAAACATGTATCAGAACAAATTAAGAAAAATAATCCCGTAAGGAAAGAAAAGAAATTCCCACTTCAGATAATCAAATTATGTGATCAAATAAGTGAGCAAAGAGGTTTATATATATTTGCTCTTACCAATTGAATGAGTATAGTCACTGTAGAAAACATTACGCTAGTTCCTCAAAAACTTAAAATTACCATCTGCAATGCACAGAATGTTTGTGTCTCTTCAAAATTTATATCTTCAAAACCTAACCTCCAATATGACAGTATTAGGAAGTGGGGTTCTTAGGTCATGAGGACAGAGCCCTCATGAGGGGGATTAATACCCTTATAAAGGGACCCCAGAGAGCTCTCTCCCCCTCTTTTCCTGCGGTGAAAATATAACAAGAAGTCAGTAGTCTGCAAACCAGAAGACAGCCTTCACCCAAACTCTACTGTGCTGGCACCCTGATCTCAGATGTCTGGCCTCCTCAACTGTGAGAAATCAATTTCTGTTGTTTGTAAGACACTCGATCTATGGTGTCTTGTCATAATAGCCTGAACGGACCAAGACACCCTATGATACAACAATTCCTCTTCTCAGTATATGCACAAAAGAATTGAAAGCGGAATTTCAAAGAGAAATCTGTACACTCGTGTTCATAACAGCATTGTTCACAGTAGCTAAAATATGGCTGCAATCCAGAAGTCCATCAATGGAGGAATGGATAGCACAATGACAATGTAGTATATACAGACAATGGAATATCATTCAGTCTTAAAAAAGAGAGGAAATGCTGATACATGTTACAACATAGATGAACCTTGAGGACATTATCCTGAGTGAAATAAGCCAATCACAAAATGACAAATACAATACGATTCCACTTATATGATATACCTAAGGTAATCAAAATTATATAGATAGAAAGTAGAATGGCGGTTGCCAGGGCCTGGGAATGGGAGGGAATGGGGAGTTATTATTTAATAGGTACATAGTTTCAGTTTTGCAAGATGAAAAGAGCTCTGGAGATGGATGATGGCAATGATTGCAGAACAATGTGAACGTACTTGATGTCACTAAACTACACACTTAGGAATGGTTAAGATGGTAAATGTTGGCCGGGCGTGGTGGCTTACGCCTATAATCCCAGCACTCTGGGAGGCCGAGGTGGGTGGATCACCTGAGGTCAGGAGTTTGAGACAGGCCTGGCCAACAGGGTGAAACCCCATGTCTCCTCAAATTACAACAACAACAACAAAAAATTAGACAGGTGTGGTGGCAGGCACCTGTAATCCCAGCTACTCGGGAGGCTGAGGCAGAAGAATTGCTTGAACCCGGGAGGCAGAGGTTGCAGTGAGCAGAGATCGCACCACTGCACTCCAGCCCGGGCGAAATTCCACCTCAAAAAAAAAAAATGTTATGTGGTGTATTCTATCACAATAAAAATTGAAAATGAATGAATACATTGATAAAGAGATAAATAAACAAATCTAAGGACCCTGAATTAAAAATCAAACAGACTTTGGGAAAATATTTTTTATTAGTTTTTTTGCTGGGCAGAAGAAACACATGGCACAATATGTCTAGTTACTTTTCTGCCAGCTTGAGAGCCAAAAACTCCATCCTTAGGTATCATGTCCCCAGCACCCAGCATGATCCATGGTACATATTAGATTCCAAAAACAGTTTCTGCACAATTGGAAAAGGTCAAAGAAAAATAAGAGAGGGGTCAAAGATGTCTCATAGAGAGAAAACACTGATCAAGCAGTTTTATCACTAAACAATCAGCAGTTCAGTGAAGAGTAGGTTGGATTTTTTTTGGGTGGGGGGGATGCAGAATCCTTCTCGTGCTGGAGTAGACGCTGCTGACATCATTCATCTCTCTACCTTCTTTCTTTTTTGTTTATTTTTTGAGATGGAGTCTCTCTCTGTTGCCCAGGCTGGAGTGCAGTGGCAAGATCTTGGCTCACTGCAACCTCTACCTCCCAGCCTCAAGTGATTCTCCTGCCTCAGCCTCCTGAGTAGCTGGAATTACAGGAATGCACCACCCTGCCTGGCCAGTTATTTTTGTATTTTTAGTAGAGACGGGGTTTTGCCATGTTGGCCAGGTTGTTCTTGAACTCCTGACCTCAGGTGATCCACCCACCTCAACCTCCCAAAGTGCTGAGCCTCACACCTGTAATGCAAGGACTTTGGGAGACCGAGGCAAGTGGATCACTTGAGGTCAGGAGTTCAAGATCTCTGCCTTCTTTTTTATTATTATTATTACTATTATTATTATTATTATTTTAATTATACTTTAAGTTTTAGGGTACCTGTGCACATTGTGGAGGTTACATATGTATACATGTGCCATGCTGGTGCGCTGCACCCACTAACTCGTCATCTAGCATTAGGTATATCTCCCAATGCTATCCCTCCCCCCTCCCCCCTCCCCACCACAGTCCCCAGAGTGTGATATTCCCCTTCCTGTGTCCATGTGATCTCATTGTTCAATTCCCACCTATGAGTGAGAATATGCGGTGTTTGGTTTTTTGTTCTTGCGATAGTTTACTGAGAATGATGGTTTCCAATTTCATCCATGTCCCTACAAAGGACATGAACTCATCATTTTTTATGGCTGCATAGTATTCCATGGTGTATATGTGCCACATTTTCTTAATCCAGTCTATCATTGTTGGACATTTGGGTTGGTTCCAAGTCTTTGCTATTGTGAATAATGCTGCAATAAACATACATGTGCATGTGTCTTTATAGCAGCATGATTTATAGTCATTTGGGTATATACCCAATAATGGGATGGCTGGGTCAAATGGTATTTCTAGTTGTAGATCCCTGAGGAATCGCCACACTGACTTCCACAATGGTTGAACTAGTTTACAGTCCCACCAACAGTGTAAAAGTGTTCCTATTTCTCCACATCCTCTCCAGCACCTGTTGTTTCCTGACTTTTTAAATGATTGCCATTCTAACTGGTGTGAGATGATATCTCATAGTGGTTTTGATTTGCATTTCTCTGATGGCCAGTGATGATGAGCATTTTTTCATGTGTTTTTTGGCTGCATAAATGTCTTCTTTTGAGAAGTGTCTGTTCATGTCCCTCGCCCACTTTTTGATGGGGTTGTTTGTTTTTTTCTTGTAAATTTGTTTGAGTTCATTGTAGATTCTGGATATTAGCCCTTTGTCAGATGAGTAGGTTGCGAAAATTTTCTCCCATGTTGTAGGTTGCCTGTTCACTCTGATGGTAGTTTCTTTTGCTGTGCAGAAGCTCTTTAGTTTAATTAGATCCCATTTGTCAATTTTGGCTTTTGTTGCCATTGCTTTTGGTGTTTTGGACATGAAGTCCTTGCCCACGCCTATGTCCTGAATGGTAATGCCTAGGTTTTCTTCTAGGGTTCTTATGGTTTTAGGTCTAACGTTTAAATCTTTAATCCATCTTGAATTGATTTTTGTATAAGGTGTAAGGAAGGGATCCAGTTTCAGCTTTCTACATATGGCTAGCCAGTTTTCCCAGCACCATTTATTAAATAGGGAATCCTTTCCCCATTACTTGTTTTTCTCAGGTTTGTCAAAGATCAGATAGTTGTAGGTATGGGGCATTATTTCTGAGGGCTCTGTTCTGTTCCATTGATCTATATCTCTGTTTTGGTACCAGTACCATGCTGTTTTGGTTACTGTAGCCTTGTAGTATAGTTTGAAGTCAGGTAGTGTGATGCCTCCAGCTTTGTTCTTTTGGCTTAGGATTGACTTGGCGATGCGGGCTCTTTTTTGGTTCCATATGAACTTTAAAGTAGTTTTTTCCAATTCTGTGAAGAAAGTCATTGGTAGCTTGATGGGGATGGCATTGAATCTGTAAATTACCTTGGGCAGTATGGCCATTTTCACGATATTGATTCTTCCTACCCATGAGCATGGAATGTTCTTCCATTTGTTTGTATCCTCTTTTATTTCATTGAGCAGTGGTTTGTAGTTCTCCTTGAAGAGGTCCTTCACATCCCTTGTAAGTTGGATTCCTAGGTATTTTATTCTCTTTGAAGCAATAGTGAATGGGAGTTCACTCATGATTTGGCTCTCTGTTTGTCTGTTGTTGGTGTATAGGAATGCTTGTGATTTTTGTACATTGATTTTGTATCCTGAGACTTTGCTGAAGTTGCTTATCAGCTTAAGGAGATTTTGGGCTGAGACAATGGGGTTTTCTAGATAAACAATCATGTCGTCTGCAAACAGGGACAATTTGACTTCCTCTTTTCCTAATTGAATACCCTTTATTTCCTTCTCCTGCCTGATTGCCCTGGCCAGAACTTCCAACACTATGTTGAATAGGAGTGGTGAGAGAGGGCATCCCTGTCTTGTGCCAGTTTTCAAAGGGAATGCTTCCAGTTTTTGCCCATTCAGTATGATATTGGCTGTGGGTTTGTCATAGATAGCTCTTATTATTTTGAAATACGTCCCATCAATACCTAATTTATTGAGAGTTTTTAGCATGAAGGGTTGTTGAATTTTGTCAAAGGCTTTTTCTGCATCTATTGAGATAATCATGTGGTTTTTGTCTTTGGCTCTGTTTATATGCTGGATTACATTCATTGATTTGCGTATATTGAGCCAGCCTTGCATCCCAGGGATGAAGCCCACTTGATCATGGTGGATAAGATTTTTGATGTGCTGCTGGATTCGGTTTGCCAGTATTTTAATGAGGATTTTTGCATCAATGTTCATCAAGGATATTGGTCTAAAATTCTCTTTTTTGGTTGTGTCTCTGCCAGGCTTTGGTATCAGAATGATGCTGGCCTCATAAAATGAGTTAGGGAGGATTCCCTCTTTTTCTATTGATTGGAATAGTTTCAGAAGGAATGGTACCAGTTCCTCCTTGTACCTCTGGTAGAATTCGGCTGTGAATCCATCTGGTCCTGGACTCTTTTTGGTTGGTAAGCTATTGATTATTGCCACAATTTCAGCTCCTGTTATTGGTCTATTCACAGATTCTACTTCTTCCTGGTTTAGTCTTGGGAGAGTGTATGTGTGGAGGAATGTATCCATTTCTTCTAGATTTTCTAGTTTATTTGCGTAGAGGTGTTTGTAGTATTCTCTGATGGTAGTTTGTATTTCTGTGGGATCGGTGGTGATATCCCCTTTATCATTTTTTATTGCGTCTATTTGAATCTTCTCTCTTTTTTTCTTTATTAGTCTTGCTAGCGGTCTATCAATTTTGTTGATCCTTTCAAAAAACCAGCTCCTGGATTCATTGATTTTTTGAAGGGTTTTTTGTGTCTCTATTTCCTTCAGTTCTGCTCTGATTTTAGTTATTTCTTGCCTTCTGCTAGCTTTTGAATGTGTTTGCTCTTGCTTTTCTAGTTCTTTTAATTGTGATGTTAGGGTGTCAATTTTGGATCTTTCCTGCTTTCTCTTGTGGGCATTTCGTGCTATAAATTTCCCTCTACACACTGCTTTGAATGCATCCCAGAGATTCTGGTATGTTGTGTCTTTGTTCTCGTTGGTTTCAAAGAACATCTTTATTGCTGTCTTCATTTCGTTATGTACCCAGTAGTCATTCAGGAGCAGGTTGTTCAGTTTCCATGTAGTTGAGCGGTTTTGAGTGAGATTCTTAATCCTGAGTTCTAGTTTGATTGCACTGTGGTCTGAGAGATAGTTTGTTATAATTTCTGTTCTTTTACATTTGCTGAGGAGAGCTTTACTTCCAACTATGTGGTCAATTTTGGAATAGGTGTGGTGTGGTGCTGACAAAAATGTATATTCTGTTGATTTGGGGTGGAGAGTTCTGTAGATGTCTATTAGGTCTGCTTGGTGCAGAGCTGAGTTCAATTCCTGGGTATCCTTGTTGACTTTCTGTCTCGTTGATCTGTCTAATGTTGACAGAGGGGTGTTAAAGTCTCCCAGTATTAATGTGTGGGAGTCTAAGTCTCTTTGTAGGTCACTCAGGACTTGCTTTATGAATCTGGGTGCTCCTGTATTGGGTGCATATATATTTAGGATAGTTAGCTCCTCTTGTTGAATTGATCCCTTTACCATTATGTAATGGCCTTCTTTGTCTCTTTTGATCTTTGTTGGTTTAAAGTCTGTTTTATCAGAGACTAGGATTGCAACCCCTGCCTTTTTTTGTTTTCCATTTGCTTGGTAGATCTTCCTCCATCCTTTTATTTTGAGCCTATGTGTGTCTCTGCAGGTGAGATGGGTTTCCTGAATACAGCACACTGATGGGTCTTGACTCTTTATCCAACTTGCCAGTCTGTGTCTTTTAATTGGAGCATTTAGTCCATTTACATTTAAAGTTAATATTGTTATGTGTGAATTTGATCCTGTCATGATGATGTTAGCTGGTTATTTTGCTCGTTAGTTGATGCAGTTTCTTCCTAGTCTTGATGGTCTTTACATTTTGGCATGATTTTGCAGCAGCTGGTACCAGTTGTTCCTTTCCATGTTTAGCACTTCCTTCAGGAGCTCTTTTAGGGCAGGCCTGGTGGTGACAAAATCTCTCAGCATTTGCTTGTCTGTAAAGTATTTTATTTCTCCTTCACTTATGAAGCTTAGTTTGGCTGGATATGAAATTCTGGGTTGAAAATTCTTTTCTTTAAGAATGTTGAATATTGGCCCCCACTCTCTTCTGGCTTGTAGGGTTTCTGCCGAGAGATCCGCTGTTAGTCTGATGGGCTTCCCTTTGAGGGTAACCCGACCTTTCTCTCTGGCTGCCCTTAACATTTTTTCCTTCATTTCAACTTTGGTGAATCTGACAATTATGTGTCTTGGAGTTGCTCTTCTCGAGGAGTATCTTTGTGGTGTTCTCTGTATTTCCTGAATCTGAACGTTGGCCTGCCTTGCTAGATTGGGGAAGTTCTCCTGGATAATATCCTGCAGAGTGTTTTCCAACTTGGTTCCATTCTCCCCATCACTTTCAGGTACACCAATCAGACGTAGATTTGGTCTTTTCACATAGTCCCATATTTCTTGGAGGCTTTGCTCATTTCTTTTTATTCCTTTTTCTCTAAACTTCCCTTCTCACTTCATTTC
Organism: Homo sapiens; assembly: GCF_000001405.40. Taxonomy (NCBI): domain Eukaryota; kingdom Metazoa; phylum Chordata; class Mammalia; order Primates; family Hominidae; genus Homo; species Homo sapiens. Next base: position 7,062,778 of record NC_000010.11, read on the forward strand.
ATTCATTTCATCTTCCCTTGCTGATACCCTTTCTTCCAGTTGATCGCATCAGCTCCTGAGGCTTCTGCATTCTTCACGTAGTTCTCAAGCCTTGGTTTTCAGCTCCATCAGCTCCTTTAAGCACTTCTCTGTATTAGTTATTCTAGTTATACATTCTTCTAAATTTTTTTCAAAGTTTTCAACTTCTTTGCCTTTGGTTTGAATGTCCTCCCGTAGCTCAGAGTAATTTGATCGTCTGAAGCCTTCCTCTCTCAGCTCGTCAAAATCATTCTCCGTCCAGCTTTGTTCCGTTGCTGGTGAGGAACTGCATTCCTTTGGAGGAGGAGAGGCGCTCTGCATTTTAGAGTTTCCAGTTTTTCTGTTCTGTTTTTCCCCATCTTTGTGGTTTTATCTACTTTTGGTCTTTGATGATGGTGATGTACAGATGGGTTTTTGGTGTGGATGTCCTTTCTGTTTGTTAGTTTTCCTTCTAACAGACAGGACCCTCAGCTGCAGGTCTGTTGGAATACCCTGCCGTGTGAGGTGTCAGTGTGCCCCTGCTGGGGGGTGCCTCCCAGTTAGGCTGCTCGGGAGTCAGGGGTCAGGGACCCACTTGAGGAGGCAGTCTGCCCGTTCTCAGATCTCCAGCTGCATGCTGGGAGAACCACTGCTCTCTTCAAAGCTCAGATGGAAATGCAGAAATCACCTGTCTTCTGCGTCGCTCACGCTAGGAGCTGTAGACCGGAGCTGTTCCTATTTGGCCATCTTGGCTCCTCCCCCTCGATCTCTGCCTTCTTTCTACAAGAATCTCTCATGTCAGTCTCTGCCAACCCCCATCGGTATGACAAAGGCATTTCAAATACTACACACACACACCCCATGAGGTGGGTGTTATTATTGACACTTATGGGCAGGAATATTAGTACTATAGCTTAAGTAGCTTGACCAGAGAATGCTAGTGGGTCACTGTTAGGACCAGGTTTACAGCCCAGATGGAAGCAGCTCTCACTACCTCATCATGGTGCCTCTGGAAATTCCACAAGCCTATTATCATCAGCAAACACCATGTCCTCTTCATTCCTGACCTTCACACCCACCTTGCTTTCTTGAGCTTCCTACCCTGGTTGTCAGCATTTCTATCTATAATACCAACAGTCCTAAGATGCATATTTTGTAGACAGTCTTTCTCTTTATGGGAGTCTAAGAAAAAACTTAGATTTTATTTTCTTGTCTTGGTTTACTGGAGAACCATCAATTCAGTATCATTTTGAAAGGAAGGACTTCCGCTCATAAGTCAGACTTAGCCTTGGACGGTGTGTGGGGAATGTGGGGCTATTGCAATACGAGGAGGAGATCTGGCTGCTTATTCTAGGTGCATAACAATCACGTTCACTTTAGAAGACTGAGACTCTTCAGATCGATGCACTTGGTCTTTTCTTCTGGGAACCTTTTGGAGCATTTATCTTGTAGGTCTCATGACGTTTCTGGCAAGCTGTAGCCTCAGAGAGAAGAAATATGGAGCTGACAAAAAGAATGCAGATGTGCAGAGAGTATCAGTGAGTTCTCGCAAGGGTATCACACATAGGACGCTCTGGCTTGGAGGATCCTGGTCCTGATCCACATCTCCTGGTCCTGGATCTACATATCCTGCCACTGACCGACAACTTTCTAGTTGCTGCTTCCATTATCTTATATCCCAAGTGAAATTAGCAGAACTTCCTACATTAATGTGCATATCACCTTATCTCCATTCAAGAACAATCATCAGGAAGTTCTGCCTCATTTATTATTTTAACTGTTCATCTTTGTTTATATGTCCCTTATTGGTGGTCTTGTCATTTTGGCTTCTTCATGACGTGTCATGGTGTAGTCCATTAAAGCAACAGTACCCAAGGACCATGGTTAGAATTGGACGTTTAAAACCTTAAGGTCAGGGCTGGGTCTGGTGGCTCATGCCTGTAATCTCAGCACTTTGGAAGGACAAGGCAGGCAGATGGCTTGAGGACAGGAGTTCAAGACCAGCCTGGTCAAGAGGGCGAAACCCCATCTCTACTAAAAATACAAAAATTTAGTTGAGTGTGGTGGTGCGCACATGTAGTTCCAGCTACTAGGGAGGTCGAGGCACGAGAATCTCTTGAATCTGGGAGGTGGAGGTGGTGGTTGCAGTGAGTTGAGATCACACCACTACACTCCAGCCTAGGTGACAGAGTGAGACTCTGTCTCAAGAAAAATAATAGTAGCCGAGGCAGGTGGATAACGAGGTTAGGAGATCGAGACCATCCTGGCTAACACGGGGAAACCCCGTCTCTACTAAAAATACAAAAAAATTAGCCTGGCATGGTGGCTGGCGCTAGTAGTCCCAGCTACTCGGGAGGCTGAGGCAGGAGAATGGCGTGAACCCGGGAAGCAGAGCTTGCAGTGAGCCAAGATCGCACCACTGCACTCCAGCCTGGGTGACAGAGCAAGACTCTGTCTCAATAATAATGATAATATAAAATAAAATAAAATAAAATAAAATAAAATAAAATAAAATAAAATAAAACCTTAAGGCCACACAAAACAACAACAACGAAAAAAACATAATGTCCTCCAGGGCTGATACATACTAACCTAACTCATGGTACATAAAAATACAAATCAGAAACTCAGTCGGTTCATTGATAATGAGATAAATATTGAAACATTGTATCTGCTTGTGTTCACCAGATGTCTGGCTTGCAGGTGGAGTGTTTTCCACCATTATCTGACGGTGGTTATGTTGTGAAACCAAGGTTCCCATCCTTTATGTCAGCCATCCTCAACCTTTTTGGCACCAGGGACTGAATTCATGGAAGATAATTTTTCCATGGACCAGGGAAGGCGGATGGTTTTGAGATGATTCAAGTGCATTACATTTATTGTGCACTTTTTTTTTTTTTTGAGACAGAGTTTCACTCTTGTTGCCCAAGCTGGAGTGCAGTGGCACAATCTCAGCTCACTGCAATCTCCACCTCCTGGGTTCAAGCGATTCTCCTGCCTCAGCCTCCCAAGTAGTCAGGATTACAGGCACGTGCCACTTACACCCGCCTAATTTTTTGTACTTTTAGTAGGAGTGGGGTTTCACCATGTTAGCCAGGGTGGACTCAAACTCCTCACCTCAGGTGATCCCCCCGCCTCGGCCTCCCAAAGTGTTGGGATTACAGGCATGAGCCACTGTACCTGGACACTTTATTTCTATTATTATTATTATAATTATACAACAACTATCTACGTGAGTGGTATAATTATTTCATTATATATTACAATGTAATAACAATATATTACAACAATATCAGTTGTAACAACTGATGTAACTCATGTAGAATAAGGGAACCTGAGCTTGTTTTCCTGCAACTAGGCAGTCCCATCTGGGGGTGATGGGAGACAGTGACATCATCAGGCATTCGATTCTCATGAGGAATACGCAACCTAGATCCCTTAAATGCACAGCTCACAACAGGGCTCGCACTCCTATGAGAATCTAATGCCACGGCTGATCTGACAAGAGGCTGAGCTCAGGCAGTAATGCCAGCAATGGGGAGTGGCTGTAAATACAGATGAAGTTTCGCTTCCCCACCGCTCACCTGCTGTGCAGCCCGATTCTTAACAGGCCACAGACCAGTACCCATCCATAGCCCTGGGGCTGGGGACCCCTGCAATAAAACTTACAAGGACCCCATGTCTACTAAAAATACAAAAAAAAAAAAAAAATTAGCTGGGCGCGGTGGCCGGCGCCTGTAGTCCCAGCTACCTGGGAGGCTGAGGCCGGAGAATGGCGTGAACCCGGGAGGCGGAGCTTGCAGTGAGCCGAGATCGCGCCACTGCACTCCAGCCTGGGCGACAGGACGAGACTCCGTCTCAAAAAAAAAAAAAAAAAAAAAAAAAAAAAAAAATTACAAAGAAGCAGCAGGCTGCATGACCTCAGTGAGGAAGATAAACAAGTCCAAGAAACCCTCATTCACCACCTTTCCAGCTTACATCACAGTTTGCTGTGTCTGGCTGCTTCGCAATCCCAAAAGGGACGGTGTTTTCCTTCGTAGCAGCCAATCAACTCTTATCCTATCCTGTTTTTCTAGGGAATAAATACTGATTTTTAATGAATGCGCAGTAAAAATATTAAATATACATACACTCATGCTATGACTGTGGGCCATATTTTTTCTTCCAGAAATGGCACAAAATAAATAATTCATATACTGAGAAGTTAGCTGTAAGCATGGCATTAAATTTTCTGATTTTTAAGTTCAACAACATTGGAATATTTGGTGATAATGAATTATTAAAGGTGTCTTGGTCAGAAAATGTCAATGCCTCTTTCCCGAAGTGACATTATTTCTGTTCCAAATAGGATTGTTTAAAAAAATTGCTGGAAGAACAGTGAGAGTTAGGAAAAACATCATTTAATTTTATTAATGTCAAAAGTTTCTTAAAGTTCAAGTGGTTAATTTCTAAATGGGTGTTTATGCAGAAATGTCCAAATATTTGCAAGAATAAAATAATCATAGCAATTGCAAAGGGAATTGAGAGATGTATAGACGGTTTGGGAGGAAATATTTGTTTCTAAAGCAACTTGCTATTAAAGAGAAGGCCCAGTGAAAAATTTAGCACGGTTAACACTAACATAGCATCAAGGATGTCAAGGATAGTTGCAAATTTAGTCTCCTGAAGATCTTTTTTTTTTTTTTTTTTTTTTTTTTTGAGACAGGATGTTTCTCTGCCACCGAGGCTGGAATACAATGGTGCAATCTCAGCTCAGTTCACTGCAACCTCTGCCTCCCGGGCTCCAGCGATCCTCCCACCTCAGCTTCTTTAGGAGCTGGAACTACAGGTGTGCTCCACCATGCCAGGCTAATTTTTTTACTTTTTGTAGAGATGGGGTTTTGCCATGTTTCCCAGACTGGTCCCAAACTCCCAGGCTCAAGTGGTCCTCCTGCCTTGGCCTTCCAAAGTGCTAAGATTATAGGCATGAGCCACCACACCCAGTCACAGTCTCCTGAAGATCTTAAAGAAGAATGATCTTCAACCTGATTCAATTCATCAAAGATTATATAACGGTAACATAGTCCAACTTGTGTATTTTTTGTGTAGGTTACAAAAAGCCTAAGCGTGATGCCTGCCCTAGAGAAGCTTGAAGTCTACCTGGGAAAAGCCATCTATCTACATACATAAGACAGTTACAAAAAAATCAAGTAAGTGTTGCGCAGAATGTCTGGAATATAAGTGTTACATGAGTTGAGAGAAGAAAAAAAAAAATCATAGGCAGGAATGATCAAGGAACATTGCCAGCCCTGAAGCTGAAATTGAAAGGATGGGTACTATTTGGGAAGGAGCAAAATATTTTTTCTTTCTCTCTTTTTTTTTTTTTTTCGAGACAGAGTGTTGCTCTGTCGCCCAGGCTGGAGTGCAGTGGCACGATCTTGGCTCACTGCAAGCTCCGCCTCCCAGGTTCACGCCATTCTCCTGCCTCAACCTCCCAAAGTGCTGGGATTACAGGCATGAGCCACTGCGCCTGGCCAACATTTTTTCTTAATTGTGGTAAAAAGTACACAACATACAATGTATCTTCTTAATCACTTTTAAATGCATCATACAGTAGTGTCAAGTATACACACCTTGTTGTACAACAGATCTCCGGAACCTTTTCATCTTGCAAAACGGAAACTCTGCACCCATTAAGCAACCACTCTCATTTTCCCTACTCCCAGCCCCTGCCCATCATTTTACTTTCTGTCTCTACGATTTTGACTACTCTAGGAATCTCATGTAAGTGGGATCACGTAGTATTTGTTCTTTTGTGTCTAGCTTAATCCCGTTAGCATAATGTCCTCGAGCTTCATTCATATTGTAGCATATGATGGGATTTCCTTCTTTTTTAAGGCAAAATAATATTGCATTGTATGTATAGAACACATTTCTTTTTTTTCTCTCTTTTTTTTTTTGAGATGGAGTCTTGCTCTGTCGCCCAGGCTGGAGTGCAGTGGCACCATCTCCGCTCACTGCAAGCTCTACCTCCCGGGTTCACACCATTCTCCTGCCTCAGCCTCCCGAGTAGCTGGGACTACAGGCGCCTGCCACCACACCCGGCTAATTTTTTTGTATTTTTAGTAGAGCTGGAGTTTCACCATGTTAGCCAGGATGGTCTCGATCTCCTGACCTTGTGATCCACCTGGCTCGGCCTCCCAAAGTGCTGGGATTACAGGCATGAGCCACCGCGCCCGACCCACATTTATTTATTCATTCATCCTTCAATTAACACTTAGCCTGCTTCCACATCTTGGCTACTGCAAATACTGCTGCAATAAACATAGGTTTACAAATATTTTAATTCTTTTAGATATATACCCAGAAATGGGAATGCTGAATGATTGGGGAGTTTTATGTTTAATTTTTTTTGGAAACTTAAAATGGAGGAACATATTTGACAAGGTGACTTCTGTATTCAGAAATGTTCATGTTAGTCACTGCAGTGTGTTGGCCAGTGAGGAGCCTGGCCTGAGTGACTGGACCAGAGGATTCTGAGAGTGGGAAATAAAGTGGGCAGGTAAGAAGAGGCTTGCTCACAAAGCCCCAGAGAGCGGGCAAACCCATGAAACTACGGAGTAAGACTTTGATGAGCTGCAGCAGCTCTTATCTGGGATGTGGCATGGAAAAAGCAACATACTGAAAAGATCAGTCCATTAATTCATTTATCAAACATATATGCCTATCATGTGTGCAGAGCTAGTCTAGATGCTGGGGACATGGTAGTAAACATTACAGATAAACTGCTTCTCCATGCGAGCTTAAATTTTGGTGAGAGGAGACAAAGGATATGCAAATAAATTATGTGTGTGCACGCGTGTGTGTGTGTGTGTGTAAAATAAGTCAGAATAATAAGTGCTATGGGAAAAAGTAAAGCAGAGTAAGGGAAGAGGGAGGAAGACTGTTTTAGACAGGGGAAGGGCATGGAGAGATTCTCTGAGCAGATCCTAGCATGAAGAGAAGGAGCAAGACCAATGGCCATCTAAAATGAAAATATCCCAGGCCGTGGGAATGGTGACTGCAGAGGCCCTGAGGTGGGGACATGCAGGCATGCCGGAGGAGCTGAGGGTTGGACAGTTGTGGCCATAGCCAAGGCCAGCGGGAGATGGGGGCGCGGAATGTGAAGGACTGAAGATTGTGTGACCATTATAAGGACTTTGGCATTTACTCTGAGTGAGACGGAAAATCACTGGAGGCTTTTGAGCACCACAGAGACATTTTAGAAGGAACTTTCTGGCAGCTATAAGAAGTATAGTCAGAAAGTAGCAAGAGGACAATGAGATCACCCAGTCAGGATCCTGTAATAGACCAGGTATGAGAAGGTTGGCTTGGACTAAAGTGATATTGGTGGAGGAGGTGAGAAGGGGTTAGATTCTGGCTATATTTATGAAGAGAGTTAACAGGATTTGCTGATGTATTGGATATGGAGAGAAAGAGGAATCATCTTACATGACTCCCAGGTTTTCAGCCTTAGCAACCAAAAGTTTGACATTGCTATTTACTGAAGAATGGAAAATAGGAGAGAAGCTAGGCATTTTGTGAAGTATCAGGTATTTTGAAAAAAATAGATTTGTAAAAGTGTGCAGTGTAGACTGGTTCCTGGACATTGAGATTATTGCACTGATTCATTTAAGAAGCAATGACAGACCATTGAGGTGAAGGGTAAGGTAATGGGGGATGAATAAGGGGCTCTAGGAGGTTTCGTTAAGGTAAAATAACAATGCATGTAGAGAGATCAAAAATAGTCAATCCATGAAATATCAGAGACTCCAGATTAAATGTGGGAAGAAGTACAGAATGGTACAATGCGTGTCTTGTTAACATGCAATAGAGTGGGGGATAGCCATACCTTTTATAGTTTCAATAATATGAATCTAGGATATCTATTTCTATAACACAAACCTATGTAACTTCTCTGATAAGGTTTCCATGCATTAGGAAGACTCAGTGACAAGATTTTGCTGTATATTGTTAGAGGGGAAGACGAGTTCTTTTTTAAGCTTGCATTTTCTAGGAGTCCTCAATAGATACTGATTACAGATTCATAGATGCAGCTTCTCAATCACTTTTTCATGAGTTTTCACTTTTGCACTTTTCTTTGGGCTTGCCCAACTGCACAAAAAATTTAACTGTCTAGATTCAAGTCTCAAGGCTGACAGGACTTTAAGTGTATTAAACAGATAAAGTGTATGTATAATAATATCCACCTCTTCCATCTGCTTCTGAAATTAAAACAAAACAAAACAAAAAACAGAAAAAAAAACCCCGGGAGAATGAGAAGTGTGTCTTACAAACCAGTGATAACCAAATAGGATAAGGTTGTGGGTGTGAGGTACACGACACATTGAGCCAGCTGTCTCACTTCAGGCTTCAGGTCACCCATCAACACCTGCAGATCACAAAACTGCAGGCAGGACATTCCATGGCCCTCTGCTGGTGTTCAATCTCTGCACATGAAATTGTAGAGAATAAAACTAAAATACTATAAAAAATAATACCTATGCAATGACAGACAAAATTATGGAAAAAAGTGGAAGCAGAGTAATCCATCAAATATCAGAATAATAAACATTACAAACACGGATATACATTTGGTACATATTCAGAGGAAAAAGAGAAGAATTTATCTCTGTCTCATTTTTTTTTTTACTTTTCTCATGTTTAACTCAATACAACAAAATATACATTTAAATTGCTTTCAAGCATCAAGAGTCTATTTTTTCCATTATGACAGTTTCACAGGATGTTATCATTGTCGTCGTTTGAATAACTGATGGAAGCACTGTGGTTTTTTTTCACCAAGTAACTTAGGTAGTGTCAAACTTAACTCCCACCCAGTCCCCAGACAGCAAGGGTCAGAACCACCAATGCTTCTCCAACCACCCTATTCTCAAAATGTCATAGGATTGCCTCTCAGCAGAAGGTGAGAGAAGCCCACAAAATGGTAAAGATCACTGTCCTTGATAAAAGCAAAGGGAGGAGACATCCATATCAATCTATGTTTGAAGAACAGATGTAGGGCTTACCCTCCTGCTGTAAATAACTATAAAATGGAGAAATAAAATTATTTACAGAAATTGGACCACGGACTTCATCGGCTGTCATTCTGAGAAGAGGAGGACCCACCAGCGAGTTCCAAATTCACCCCAGCTTCATGCCTCTAGGCGCTTTCCAAACCATAGCGTGCGTGCACATGCGCACACACACACACACACACACACACACACGCACACAAAGGAGGAACATTCTCACCGGGTAGAGGAAACAAAGATTGGAGTTTGAGTCTTTTAAGGCAGGTGGAATATATGGGGCAGAGTGTCAGAAGGGAGCTGTGTAGAAAAGGAGTTCCGGAAATTTGCATAACATTCTTCCTTGTGTCTTTGGCCAGATGCAAAGCTGCGTATGTGCTGGAGAAAACTCTGCAAGACTTATTAGGAAACAGCTACTAGGTAAGGGGTTGTGAACTGAATGGAATTTCCAAAAATGACACAGTGCTGGGAGATGTTACAACTCCAACCGTTCATAATGGAGACACCACACTGAACATCCAAGGAAGAAAATCACGTCTTAGGAATAGATATGTTTTAGCCCTAGACTACCATCAGTTCTAGACCCAACCTAACAAAGCCTAAAATAAATGTTTGACAAAATCAACTGTCAGAAGAAAACTCAACATCTTTCAAAGAAACAAAGTAAAATCCACACTCTACAATGTATAATCTACAATGTACAGCATCTAATAATAGTTTTTTAAAGGACTAAGACATGCAGAGAAGCAGGAACATGTGACCTACTCCCAGAGAAAAAAATAGTCAATAGAAACAGACCCAGAGATTATATTAATGTTGGAATTAGTAAGCAAAAAAAATTAAAATAGCTATTTTATTTAAACATTTAAAACTTTTGCTAAACAAAATGCGCCATTAAGAAAATAAACAGGAAAGCCACAAACTGGGAGAAACTATTTGCCATACATAAATCTGGCAAAGCCTTATATCCTGAGTATATAAGAACATCTAGAAGTCAATGATAAAAAGAAAAAAGAACCTAATCAAAACATGGCAAAATCTTGGACGTACAATTTAAAAAGAAAGATATAAAAATGGCCAAAATCATTAAGAAAATCCAAGTTAAATGACAATGAGATGATATCACACTGTCACTTCAACATCTAAAATTAAAAAGACGGACAATACAACCCAACGTTGGCAAGGATGTGAAGCACCAGGATTTTCATGTGTTGCTGGTAGAAATGTAGAACTGTACAATTATTTCCGAAGAAAAGGTCTTTTTCTTTAGAGTTTAGCAAGAACCTGCCCTATAACCCATGATTTCCATTCCCAGGTTTTTATGCAATAGAAATGAAAACCAATGTCCACAAACCCCACATGTATATGGTATTTATTGGTGTTTATTGACAAGACCCCAAAATGGCAACAATGGAAATGCCATCAAAAAGTGAATGGATTATTTAAAATTGTGGCAGTGGAATACTCCTTGGTTAAAAAAAAGAAAATGAATTATTCTTATGCATACATAACACCATAGTTGATTCTCACAGACATTAGGATGAGTAAAAGAAGACAAACATGAAAGAAGATATTATGCATGCTTCTAATTCACATGAAGTTCTAGAACACACAAAACTAAACTGTGGAGAAAAAAATCAGAAGAGTGGTTTCCTAGGTGAGAATAGAGTGTAGTGCCTGGTAAGGATCATAAGAAATATCCTTGGGTGAAGCATCAGTTACGTGGGTGTGAACACTGCCGAAACACTGAATTGTACACTTGAGATCTGTACATTCCACTGTACTTAAGTTGTATCTCACTTTAGGCAAAGGAATACACCAGAGGGAAGGTGGCATGAGAGAAAGGAAGATGATGCTGTGATTTCTGGTAGCGAGAATGCCAGCAAACAGGTACCAGATTGCAATCCTGCTATTCCCCGTTCAGTCCAGTCCAGTCTGGTCCTAAGTCATTGCAAAGAACCAGTGGGAATCCAGCTTAGGAAAAGATGAAGAAAAAAGTGTAGCTCAGAAAAAGTGCAGAACAGCAATTGTGAGTATGATGCACCAGATCAAACCAGAAAAAACTGCCAAAAAAAAAAAGCAAGGTAAAATTGGATCAGGTGTGAACCTCCATGAAATAAAGCTTGCAAGATATAAGGTAAAACTAAGCCCAAGCCAAAACACATCCAACCACCAACATGATGCAGGAGAAATTATATGTCCCCCAACAATAGCAGATGTAAGATAGATCAGACAAGCCCTCTGCCCTTCTCCTAGAACACTGAGCCGAACTGTTGTGTAGTGGCCTAAAGGGTTTCCCCTCATCCCCTGCAGGGAGAAGCAGCCCTGTTTGTTCCCTGGGCTACGCTCCAAACATGCTGTCCTGCTGACCTCCCAACAATCCCAGGCAAGTTATGGGGCATATTGTGCCCAGCTGAACCCACAATCAAACGACATTAGCTTTATCTTCTTAGGTTGGTGCAAAAGTAATTGTGGTTTTTGCCATTACTTTTAATTAATTCATTCTAAATAACTCTTGATGCACCATCTACTATTATGGTCACAACTAACCAAGCACAGAACAGTGATCTCGTATCCAGACATTTCAGAAGTATGAGAAGAGTCCATGTGGACATACAGGAATGGTTACATGTGCTCTTCTCTTGGCCAAACCTGCTCCACCGAAATGGAAGGAAAGAAACAATAATGCTATTAATTCATGGGTAAAAAGAGAGTGTTAACAGGTATAACTGGGAATGAGAAAAGTCCATATGTTTTTGGAAGACAGAGTGGATGGAGGAACAGTGGGGGTGAGGCAACACAGAGAGATTCCTGCAATGGGGACTTCCTGATGAGAGGTGACACATTTTTCCTTACAGAACTGCTGAGAGGGGTAGTTCTAAGAGGGAAGATTAAGTTAAGCACATGGCTGAAAACAGTAAGGCTTGTTTCTTATCTGCATGTAGGACCACTGGACACTCCTCAGTGTTGCTCACCCCAACCCTTGCAGCCAGGCAGCCATACAGCCCCTCTCCCCAGAGGGAGACAAGAGTTACTCTCTGAATACATTGAAACTAAGATCCTCTGGACTCAGGGGCATTAAGCAGAGAAGGCAGCATGAAACACATGGCTGAAAACAGAAGGATTAAATGAAAACTCCACCTTGAACTTTAGGACTGCAGCCTGGGTCCTTCCCATCACTCTCAGATACCTGCAGCCAGGCAGAAGGACATCTCTGTGGAGACACTGCCTGGCTCCCGGGTGCACATCTGTGTTGCAGGCTCTCTCAAGAAAGCTGCAATTCCTCTTCAACTGCCTCAACTGGGGACTAAACCCAGAAGAGAAAAGTGTGGGATGGAGGGAACAGGACCCCAGAAAGGCAGCACAGGGAAGCCGCAGGCACTCAGCTTCATGACAGGCTTAGAGAACAAACTGGGACAGAGGAAGGGGAAGCTTGGAGCACATTTCTCTGAGGAGGTGTGGAGCAGGTGGAGAACTGGACGGCAGAACCGACCTGATGGACTGCTTGGCATTGCATTCGAGCTCTTGGCAAGATTATTAGTAGACGTATGCCAAATGTGTTAAAACATCTGGTAAGAGTTAGTGACAAGTACATACAAAACCAAGCAAATGGGAAAAAAATGAGGCAATAATTAATTCTAAGAATAACAAAAACATAGTGTGAAACAGAAAATGGAATCAAATTATATGACTTGACCCATTAGTAAAAATCATTACATAGCATTATCTAATTGGTAGATGTGGCCAAAATTTGATGTATGACACTACTGAGAAGACAGGGGAAGAAGAAAGAAAGAGGGGCTAGTGGAGATATAAAAGAGGTAAATGCCCAAATTTTAAAACATGTAAAGTTGATAGATATTATCTAAGATTGATCAATTAATGCATAGCAGTACAAGTATATGATTTGGAAATACAAAAGCAAATAGCAGAAAAATTACAACCTTGGAATTGACTTTCTCTGGGAAAATGGGGATGAGAAGGAAGAAGGCAGGTGCAGCCATGTCTCAGATGCTGCCAGTGTCCACCCACGTCCCCTTGGCCTCACCTGTCCTGTACATGCTGGTCACTTGCTTCTGCAAGTCCCTGGGGCTCTTGCCCTGAGTGCCATCTCTAGCTGGGCTCAGCCTGCACATGGGGCAGAATGAATGATCCCCATTCTCAGCAACCCTCAGACAAGCCATGGACAGGAACTGGAAATAGACCGTCCAACTCACCAATCCCTTGGGTAGGTCAACTCTGAGGTCCGCCGTACACCATCTCCCAGTGCTGCCTGCTATTATCTGCTCATTAACGTTCCCCACATTGGCTCCCTTCCTTCCTTTCTCCCTTCCCCACCTCCGTATGCGTGCTTCCTGGAATCACCTCCCAAAGAAAGAATCCATTTGCACTCTGATTCTTGTTTCAGGGTCTGCTTCCTGGGAAGCCCAACCTAAGACCAGCTGTTACTCAACAGGAAACTTTCAGAACGACAAGAATAATGCCTTCCTTCACTATGTGCATACAACCTCCAGGAAAATAAAATAAAATAGTGTAAGAGTGATTATCTTCTGAAATGATGCCATGTTATAGCTATTATCGTGTTAAACATTAGTTTATTTATTACTCAAGTGAATTTGCAATAGATTCATTATAAGACTATAGGCTCAATTAATAAGTCAAGTATGATCATTTACTATTGGAATTAAAAATGATCTCCTAATACATATCACCTGGTGGTGCTGCCTTCTGAATAATAATCTGGAAGAGGTGCCTCTTCTTCCCAGCACATCGAGCTAGCGTTTCTGGGCAGTCATTGTGTCAAAGAGTAAGCTTTTCTATGGTTTCTCTGTTTTCACATTTGTTCCTCTGCTAGACCTAATATTTGTTTGCTTGCTTTCTTTTACTCCATAGATTTTTGTTAAGTGTCAACTAAGTTTGGCAGCAATATTGACTTCTCTGCTTATAAGAGTGTTACTGCTCTGGGAGTTTCACTGAGAGTCAAGTGACCATTTATTGATTAGGATTTATTATCCTCTATGAATCCTGTCTTTCTACATAATAGCACTGTCATTACTTTCTAAAATACTCTAAGGTGTATAGTCTGATTTTGTAATGCTTCACCCATTCACATATGAACACTAATGACTGCATTGCGTTATCATCTTACCATCAGATTTCTCGATTCCCAGCCAAGGACTTCATTGACCAGTGCAGTGACCAAGCCAAAGTCACAGCTCGCCAGATCTGGTTAAGTTTGTTGCTAGGACTGTTCACTTAGGCAGCTGGAGAACACAGATGCTCTCCAAATCCAGACTCAAAAACTAGCACAGAGAAACTTGTCAGTAGTGACAGGATGACCTCACTCATCAGAATATCATTCTACATTGACTTTACTATTCCAAGTTTATAACTCTTGATCTACTTTGCTAACAGCGTCCTTGCTCAGAATGTCAACGAAGTGATACTAGCTCACTCATAACCACTCCACTAAGAATACACAGCATAGCATCAACTTCCAAGAGCAGTGCCCAAGAAGCTATGGGCCAGAAAGAAATTGTTTCATGAAAAATGCCAAGAACAAAGAAAAAAAGGCATATTTTAAGAAAATAAAATGTTGGGGAATAAAACTGACCAGCAATAAATAGGCCCATTGCCAAAGAATTAAGGCAATGTCAACAAGTGATTAAAAGATGGTAGAACTCCTCAACTTCTAACTTCTTGGTTTTCACTCAGGAAAATGGGCAAGCATTGTTCCAAAGGAGAGAAGCTTCAATGTAGGAGGAAATATACATGCTATTCTCTTTCACAGAATTCAAATCCAAAAGCACCTTTCATGAAGAGCTGAAGTTTGGAAACAAGCTCACAGATTTGGTCTCAAAGGTAGTGCCATAATGAGGGAGAGAATTGGAGGGGAACAGAAGACATGGCAGACAAACATGACCCCAGCCTTGAGGAAAGAAGCAAAGGTGAGCTTTAGGGAAGGTAAACTGCTCAGTGTGAAGTGCTGTAAAGGAATTCTAGAACAGAGCTTCCAACAGGTGACTTGGAATATTACTAATTATTACAAGATTGTTAGGTATCAGTCATGCCAGGGATATGTCAGAAGCCTGGTGTATTTTATTTCCTGAGGCACTCAATGAAGCCTCTTATTCTATCTTTGAACATTTCTCAAATGAACATTTAAGAAATGAACATTGGCTGACAGCAGGATAGATGGCCTTGGAGCTGTTGAACAAGCAGGCAAGCTGAAGGAGTTTGATTAATCAAAGTTAACCTTTCACGGGGCAGTTAATGGTGCAGTAAATAATCATGATGAACAACTTGGGTTTGGGATATGGGCCTGTAGTCGCCAGCTGGATGGCAAGTTACTTAACCTCACTCGCTGAGCCTTAATTTCCTCATCTGTCTCTAAATGGTCGTGATGATCATGCTGAAATCCTGAAGTTGGGGGCTGAATGAGGCGGTGCCTATATGAGGGTTTACACGGGCCAAGTACACTCAATAGTAAGTGCCCACCAAAGGTCACCTCACAAGGCTTCTATCCCATGGGTTTAAAAACAATTGGCTCATTCATCTCACAATTTCATTTCTGTATCTGGGAAGCATCTGCAGCTGAGAAAGCTTATCGGCTTGCTAAGTTCTACCCCAACCTGACCTCTGCAATATAGAAGCCACTCCATAAATGTACTTTTCCTGCCTCCTATGTGCTTCTCCCTCCAGTGCTGAGTATTTTGATAGCATTTTCTTTTCTTAATGAGAAGCGAATTCACAACTTAATTTTTATTTTATTTTAATTTTATCTTTTTTTTGAGATAGAGTCTCACTCTGTTGCCCAGGCTGGAGTGCAGTGGCGCGATCTTCGCTCACTGCAAGCTCTGCCTCCCAGGTTCATGCCATTCTCCTGCCTCAGCCTCTCCGAGTAGCTGGGACTACAGGCGCCCGCCACCATGCCCAGCTAATTTTTTTGTATTTTTAGTAGAGACGGGGTTTCGCCGTGTTAGCCACGATGGTCTCAATCTCCTGACCTCGTGATCCGCCCGTCTCGGCCTCCCAAAGTGCTGGGATTACAGGCGTGAGCCACCGCGCCCGGCCTAACGTTTTTTATTGTTGTAAAAAATGCATAACACAATTTACCATTGTAACCACTTTTAAATATATAGTTCAGAAGTCATGAGTATATGCACATTGTTGTGAAACAGATCACCAGACCCTTTTCATCTTCCCAAACTGAAACTGTCTACCTGTTAAACAACAACTCTTCATTCTCTTTCCCCGCAGCACCTGACACAGCAGCCCACCTCCTGCCCCTAGAATTTTGACTGCTCGAGGGACTGCACATGAATGGAATCAGTTTGCATTTGTATCTTTGTACCAGGCTTATTTCACTTAGCATAATGTCCTCAAGGTGCATCCATTTTGTGTACGTGACAAAATTTCCTTCTTTGTTATTAAGGTTGAATAATATTCCAGGGTGTATAATAAAAAAGAAGTCAGCATCACTAATACCAAAACCAGGAAAGAACATAACAAAAAAAGAAAACTACAGACCAATATTCCTGATGGACATAGATGTAAAAATTATCAATAAAATACTAGCGAACCGAATCCAACAGCCTATCAGAAAGATAATTCACCATGATCACCATGATCTAGTGGGTTTCATACCAGGGATGCAGGGATGGTTTAACACACAGAAGTCAATAAATGTGATACATCACATAAACAGAATAAAAAAAATCATATGATGATCTCAATAGATGCAGAAAAGGCATTTGACAAAATCCAGCATCCCTTTATGATTAAAACCCTTAGCAAAATCAACATACAAGGGACATGCCTCAATGTAATAAAGCCATCGATGACAAACCCACAGCCAACATTATATGGGACAGGGATAATTTGAAAGCATTCCTTATGAAAACTAGAACATGAAAAGGATGCCTATCCTCACCATTTCTATCCTAGCCAGAGCAACCAGACAGGAGAAAGAAATAAAGGGCACCCAGATCGGTAAAGAAGAAGTCAAACTGTCACTGTTCACTGATGATATGGTCGTATACCTAGAAAATCCTAAAGACTCCTCCAAAAAACTCCTAGAACTGATAAATGAATTCAGCAAAGTTTCAGGATACAAAATTAATATACACAAATCAGTAGCTTTGCTATACACCAACAGCGACCAAGCAGAAAATCAAATCAAGAACTCAAACCCTTTTATGATAGCTGCAACAAAATAAAAATAACAATACTTAGGAATATGCCTAACGAGGGAGGTGAAAGACCTCTACAAGGAAGGCTACGAAATTTCCTTTATCCATTTATCTGTCAATAGACACTGGGGTTGCTTCCACTTATTGGCTATTGTGAATGCTGCTATGAACATGGGTCAACAAATATCTTTTCAAGTCCCTGCTTCCAGTTCTCTTGCATAAATATTCAGAAGTGGAATTGTAGGACTATATGGTAATTCGATTTCTAATTTTTTGAGGAACCACTACACTGTATATACCACATTTTGTTTATTTATTCATCTGTTAATGGATATTTGGGTTGCCACTTGCTTTTTAAGCTTCTATGTCTATTTTCATTTTATTCACCAAGTGTGACGTGTGCCTAGCATGTCAGCAAACCAGCATCACAAGGGTCCCAGGAGCACAAAATAAAAGGAAAAGACCCTGCCCTGAAAGTCCTAGCAAATGCCTTTAAATTCTCCCCAGTCCTCAAACAGAGCTCAGGACATTATAACCATGTCCAGGAGTTGCACACTACTGGTTTCTTAACATAGAATTTTCCTCTGAGACAATCTCCATCTTAAGTAGCCTTGTAAATAGGGGAGAAAAACACTCAGTGGCAGTCTCATGGCACTAAGGATATTTCCATTCTTCATCTGAAAGTCTAAGCTTACGGTTTTCCCTTTGGTACCCAGTAAATTGACAGAAGGCACTGGGTTTATCCTTGCTTTGCTCTTATAAGTCATTACGGAAGGATGGGGCCAGCTTCTCCCCTGCAAAGGTACATGGAGGTGACTCTTACTCAGGAGGGGAAGCTAAATACCACTTGAGAGGAATGGGCATGGAGAGGAAATCTTATAGGACCTCTTCTGGAAGTAGAAATTTAGAATTGAGCTGCGCATAGAGTTTTCTTGCATGTTGAATTGGTCCTGTTTAATTGCTACATCCACATTCTTCTTCCCACGCTTGTCACAGAGCAATCCCAGGCTGACACGCCCCACCACGGAGCTTCCCAAACCCAACAGGCAGGGGAATCTCCGGCACAGTAGAGTTTCCTAGTGGGTAGGATACCAGGACCCTGACTCAGCTCTAGGCGTCTCCCTGCAGCTTTTGCCTACCCAGGATACATCCAAAGTACTCCAAGCTTGAAAGAGAGTATGAGGCTGCACTCCATTCTGAAATGAACAAAAACCAAGAGAGAAGCAGTCTAAATCCCTTCACCAACACACCCGATTTAAAGCATGAGGGTGGGCCTTGGGGGGAAGACAAGAAGGAAAAGAAGAAAGAAAATGATGCCAACTGGGCTCCAACCCTGTTCACAGCCTGGAATGACACCGGCAGATGGCCTCGGTTGGATCCTGCCTCCCCACTCATCCTTCCTAGGTTGGGCAGGTTACTTCCCTCCTCTGCCTGCATTCCCCAATCTGTGAAATGGACACAATAACCCATGCTATGTTCTTAAACAGTGGTGGATGCAGAATAATTCCTCGAACTAAGTGGGGCCCACGTGGGAGTTCTAGCACTGTCATTCCTGTACCTTTCTCTCCCCAGTTTCCCTGCAGGTGGGCGATGCAGGTGCCCACCTTATCTCTTCTCCACCAAAACCTGTGCTCAGGAGAGAGACAAAGTGTCAATCATTTCTACTGAATATGAATTTGTGGCCAGTGGGGTTTCCTTTTTAAAGCTTCATCAGTGATAGTGAAATATGATGTTACAGGACATCAGTGAGCACCAAGGGAATCATTTTAGAGAAGAAGCATTTGCTTCCCAGAAAGTCTGAAAACCCACTCTGTGGGCAACATGGGCAGCCAGCCACCCCTCTGCCCAGGACCAAGGAGCAGAGATGTGGCTATTGCCTCTTGCAGCTCTTGTCTGTGCTGGATCCGTGTCCCTACCCCTTAAACAGCCCTGAGTAGAGCTGTGTCACAAAACAGCAACTGTGGGTACCTTGGAACTGAAGTCCATGGAGGAGTTGAGGCATCGCTTTCTCAAAAGGAGCGACAACATTCCATTTACACAAAACAGTGGCCTAGTGGGGAAGGTTTCTTTTAACAAACGATAGTGCTTTTTATTCAATGGTTTAATAATTAATCAGTGGAATGAAAGCTACATTTAAAGGAAGTGGATGGAAAATCGATAAGTAAATGCACATCACTTCTTGTGAGAATAAAATAGGCTTCGGCAGCTGGAGCAATGAAAAGCTCTGTTGCAAACATGAATCCATCCCTTGCTCTTCCTTCCTGCTTCCCCTGTGTGCAGTAATTGAGGGGCCAAAGGGTGGGAGCATCTTCCCCATTTGTCACATAGACGGGGAAAGTCCCAGCCCACGAATGCTTTTTAAGGTTTTCAAAAACAATGATTAAAAGACAGATGCGTTTTGGATGGGAAGCTGTATCTTTGTCTTTTTTCAAAAACAAACAAACAAAAAAAGTAGCAATGCAAGTTCTCCACCCTCTCAATCCCTCTATGCTTTAAAATACGAACAGAAATGGAAAACTGCAAAGCTTGAGACACCTATGCTCACTAGAGAAATATTTCCAGCTACTTCTGGTGAACACATTTAGGATGCATCTGACACCACCCTCAAAATATTGACTTTATGTTTCAGTGAATATGAGGATTTATCGTCCCTTGAGGTAAATATTGACCTCCGTACTGCCACAGTCAATATTTACTGTGCTTTTCATTTCGATAAATCTTGCTATTCACCCAAATGAGAATTCAGTGCTGCTATGGCTAAACTAGCTGGAAGGAAAGAAGGCAGAGGAAGGCGAGTGCCCAGAAGCTGCATAACTCCACTCTGCATTTTCTGAAAAGGGGTCCCTGGCTAGCAGACACATCTCAGAGCAATTGTTAAATGGGTGTGATTTGCATTAGGCATTGCCCCCTCCCTTTTCACATTCTAACTTCTCCTATATACTATTTAACCCAGTTCCCTTGGTCCCGTGTAATTCAGTCAAAGAGAACCATCCCGATAGCTCTCTTCACTTTGGTGTACTGAAAAGGACTTGATTTGCTTAGTACCAGCTAATGGCTTGGCTTTGTGGAAGTCTCCCTGCCATACCTCGCTGTCAAAGGAATGCATTTCTAACTGTGGGATTCTGCAAACAGAGGCACATCCCTAAGGAAGCTGTTTTAAGAAGGACACGTCTGCCACATTCCATTCTATGGGCTGAATTCCAAAGAACTAAGATATTTCTTCAAACTCTGGCTAATCCTCTACACTCTGCTAAGGAGAGAGGAACTTTGGCATTCCTGAATGAGTCCTTAGGACCCTACATTCATCCTCTCTTAGGAAGCTAAGACATCCATGAGTTGGTCTCCAACTCTCGTGTTCAGAATTGGAAAGTGAGTACAGCAGAGTGGGGATAAAGGGAGGGGTGATTAGAATCACCCCAGAGAGTGTAATGTCTGAGACACGGAACATGCAGCACACCTTTTAAATGCTCGTGGAGTGGATAAAATATATCAACATCCATTGGTTTGAGGACTATTCATACTTATCTAGATGGAGGTTGGTGTGATGTTGGTGTAGTGACCTTCTAAATATTCCCAGTAGGAAGAATAGAATTTTCTCAGCCTATTCTGAATAGTCCCCCAATCCTGACTATGAAAATTAATTCATTGTCCCAGAAGTTTGGCTTAGAAGATTTTCTAAACTTCAGTTCATTTGAAGTTTGGTTTTTAGTCTGAATATTTATACTTGTCTTTCAAAGAAGTCTGTGGACCACATTACTTATTATTTTTTTCTGACTGATTTCACTTTCCTAGACCTCCATATACGTTATGAAAATTTTTAAGAGTTCAGTGATTTGCTGAATCATAGGTTGCCAGAGAAAAAATACTAGAAATTATCTGTTTCACTTTGGTTATTTTACAGATGAAATTGAGGCTTCTAATGCTGGTAAATATGAATACATTTACATTCTACTACCCACGCATTAAGCTGGATAGAAAGGGGGAATGTCATAAAGTGCAGGAATTTCAACAGATACTTTCCTAGAACATCATAAATGCCTGGAGCTGGTGGGAACAGAAGGAGGAGGGATCAATTTTTAAATTTGGTTTAATTTGACATTTCCAACTATCTAAGTACACATTAAAGTTTTCGTCCTCTCTGCACATTTCTCTCCATTCTTAATTTTTAAAATTACTCAATTTATAGATAAGAGAGTCAAATAAGTGATTTTAGAAGGCCCATAGTATTGATCTACTGTGCATTCATTTCAATGTGCTTTAACAGGAAATGTGTAGTCGTTTGTAAATCTGTCTTGGATGCTAAGTCCCTGAAGAAGGAAATACATCGGTCTCTGTCCAGCATCCCATCACCTTGTACATAGTGTTGGAAGCTTATATCACTTGCAAGTGTATTTAAAAATAGAGTTGCTGGGCCTCAGATATGGTAGTTAAAGGAAACCCGCAACTGGGCATTGGAATCCTGTTGCAAAATACCTCGCAACGAATCCGGTAAGAGGCAGTGATGTTCCTGCAGCTGCACGGAGTAAGGACCAGATGCTTGTGTCTGTGGTTATAAAAGACAAACAAGCAAACGTGTGTTATTTCTCCAATCACCTACAGTTTAAAGAAGGAGCTGGAAAACATATTTTTTTAACCTACGAAGTTACTAGGAAATACAAAGACCTTGGCAAAATAGAGAAGCTGGCTGGCTTTCTTTGAAAACCTGACAAAATGCATTTATCTGACTCATCTTGATGTCTTCAATGGACTCACAGGTTGATAAACAAACAGGAGAGAACATCAATTCATCCTTTTATTTTCAGCTGTGCTTTCTGTGTACTTGACTGTCCATTATGTAAAGCTGAGAAGTGGCTCTTTGATTGTGTTCACATTTGATTAAGAAACTCTGTGTTTGGCAGACCAAAATATACCAAACTGTTAATTGCTTTTTAAAGGAGAATTATGACACTTTTAACAAGCCACATATCTTACTGAGCCTTGTTAGAGTGGATGCTCTCATTCTGCGGAACTGTCTTATTTTGAGATTTGGGTCCCTAATTGCTTATAAACCATACTGTTTATTGAGTATTAACTGTGGCATGGCAGTTTATTATGGGAACTTATTGCTTAATGCCTATAAAAAGCAGTCTGAATGAGCTACTCTCTGCCTGTAGTGTCTCTGCTCCCCAAAACACACACACACATACACGCACTCACAAGCTCACAGGGCTACACTTAAGCTCATCAACTGCAAGAAGTATTGGCAGAATTACGCAGAGGCAAAGCTTAGGTAGCACGTTGCTTGGTAACCAGCAAGTCCTCTGTCGATTCTTCAGGGTGTCAGCCATACATTTTCCTCTGCACATTACCTACAATGAAAAGGTCGGTGACCCAATGAAATATCAGATCAAGTCAAACTATTAACTGGACAAATGCATTTAAAGTGCTCTTGTCCCCCGGTTGGGTCTGATTAGTATACATTATGGTCTTCTGAGGCAAGCATGAATCATTAATAGATTCAGACTCCGCTGCTCCCTGCAATGAAACATCATAACTCACTGTGGAGTAATGCAGTGTGTTGTGTTTATAAGATGTGGACCCTTCACTTAGTGTGATCTACAGTGTTGTTATTTTGTGGTAAGAACATAGCTCCTTCTGTTTTTGTTTTTGTTTTTTTTTAACATTAGTAAATAGTGTTTGTCATTGCGTTAAAAAAGAAAGAAAAATCTTTCCCCAGAAAAATCGTTCCCTGCCTGCCTGTGCCTGCATGGGGGAGGGGAGAGTAGCTTGGCCCGTAAATAGATGCATTGTTTTTTTGCTCACTCTATGAAACTTTTTTTAACCTCCTCCAGTTTAAAGTCAATTGTAATAGACCCAGGCAGGAAGAATCTCAATTCTGAAAATTAAAGAAAGGCAAACAATCTCAAGACAAAATTCCCGGAATTGAGTTTGAACTCTGACCTCTCCTTGTCTTCTTCCCTCTTCGGTGACTGTGCTGTGGCAGCCAGTTGGTTTTTGTATGAGAACCTAGAAACTGGGAATGTCTCCAGCTCTGCTTTCTCCCCCTGTGGCTAGAACCAGAAACTGAAGCTTCTGTGAGCTCAGCCATTTGTAATTTGACCTCTATGTGTCTAAATTAAGCTCACCGGGCAAAAGTGACTGTATGGTAGAACTTGGGTTTGATTATCCCTGCTACCCCTAATAACCCTATTTAATCCACATAAACACATTTTGTGGTGGGAAGAGGGAATACAGAACAGTATGATTTGCACGCAGCAGCGCTGAAACATTAATACTTACCCTGGAATGTACTCCCAGCTCCAGCCGACAGCCAGCTATTCTGACACTCATGACTATTGGGTAAACTGAAACACTATCTGACACGTCAGTCTAGCAGGCATGTGCTGAACACCTACTGTGTGCTAGGCACGGTGGGTGCTAGGATCCAAGACGACGCTCTCAGCCTGCACATCCAACCACAGCGGCAGACGTGGGAGGAGCTTAGTCCTGCAGCCGCGTGAGTTCCTTTACTTGGTTGAGTGGCAGGAATCTAGCCAAGAGGATGCCCATATCAATTTCTAAAGAGTTCATTCCACCCACAGTTCAAAAAAAAAAATGATGTATTTATTTTTCCATGGGAGTTAAGGAAGAAAACGCCCCAAACAAATGGAACTGGATAACTTGTAAAGAAAGATGATGGCTAACCTCGTGAAATGTTGGGCGACGTTTCATTCTGTTCTGTAATGCAGAGTTCAGCAGTTTCCATTCTTTGCTTTCCTTTCTCTTTTTGCCTTTACTTTGTGTGCTTGCCTCTAGTCTATTTCACAGGGTCCACAGAATTAGGGACCTGGACACTGCCTCTCAGGGAAATCATTACCAAGTCCCCGGTGCTTAAAGTTCCTATCACACAGTAGCAGCTCCTACATGTGTCTTCCTTCTCATTTTCTCTAGTATATAGCCACTGCTCTTCAGAGCTGCTACCAGTTGGAGCTGCCATTTAAGAAAGTATATACATAACAGGTACCAAATCTCTGAAATCCTGAAACTCTGGCTATGTACATCTATCACATTTCCGCTGTTTACAACTCCATGTCAAACGTATGTTTGTTAAAGCTACCTTTATTTCCAAGAATGTGGCAGCCGCGGGCATTGACTTCGGAGGCATAGCAAAGTTTCTCGACATCTGACTGTGCCACATAGCTCATGTAGTCCATCTGTCCTTTCAGAAGTGTCCCCAACCTGTAGTCATCTGGGTAAACCACCAACTTTATTGTTATGGGCTGAATTACATCCCCTAAAATTCACATGTTATACTCCTGACCCCCATTCACTCTGAATTTACAAATGTAATTAAATTCCAATGAGGTCATTAGGCTGGGCCTTCATCCGATCTGACTTGTGTCTATATAAGAAGAGGAGATTGGGACACAGACACACACCAAGGAAAGACAACGTGAAGACACAAAGAGAAGGCACCATTTGCAAGCCAAGGAGAGAGGCCTCAGAAGGAACCAACCCTGCCAACGTCTTGATCTTGGTCTGCCAAGCCTCCAGAATGATGAGAAAATACATTCTTGTTGTTTAAACCTCCCAGTCTATGCTACTTTGTTATGGTAGCCCTAGCACACTAGTATATTCATGCTTACAACAGTATCAGATTGCAGAGAAAGAAACATCAAAACATGAAATCAAGTGTTAGACTAAATTTCACTGTGCTTCAGGACAAATAGCACCCGTGGACAAATACATGTGCTTAAATGTTTATCTGGATTAGTGTCCAGATGAAGCCAATGGGCTTTAGTTTCTATCTTGGCTACAAAGCAGTGCGGGCAAAGGGCCATGCCAGGCCATTTGGTCTGTTTCTCTTCTGTTGACATCAAGGACACCCACTTGGAAGATGCTGGTTTGCCACCTCTAAGCATATCCATGTGAACATGAGATTCATTCTGAATACAAAAGGAAATTGGGAATGCCAAAGGAAGGACTTGGGCCGAGACCAGGAGGGAAAACTGGCATTCGTCCAGTTAGAAGACCTACGCAATGATAGAAAATGCAATCTCCAGCAAGTCCCTCATTCCATTATGTCTCTGTGTAATGGGAGACATAACACCTCCTTTCCTATATTAACAGTCAGAGGAGAGGTCATAAAACAACACAGTGTATGTATTAGGCCAAAAGCTGGAACGGAGGCTGATGAATGTACCAGGAAAGGACCATTAGCAAAATGATGGATTAAAGTTCTGTTTACATTTCTATTGGGATGGATCCTCGCTTGTTAGTTTAAGTAATCCTGTGCTTTGATTATAGCCATCAGCACATAAAAACAGGCTCTGTTAACCTCGAAGGTGTAAAATTCTAATGTGCTCATAGAAACTCAAGAACACTATCATTCACTGAAGTACTGGGGACTCCGAAAGAATGAAGGAGCCCTTAGTTTAAAAAAATAATTAAAGTTGTCAAGAAAGGCAAAAATAGGCCCATGGTCTATGAATAGCTCATTTTGCATTCTTTAGGTACATGGATCTGCTTCTTCCATTAGGTCTGTAAGACCGAGGATTATCTATTTCAATTTGGTCATTCTACAGATGAAATTGAGTATTCTAATGCTGACAAGTATAAATACATTTATCTTCTACTACCCACAGGTAAAGCTGGATATTTCCTAGCTTGTGACACAATATTTTTTATTTCCTACTCTGTAGCTATACACACCCCACTTCCAGCTCCCTTTCTTGTAGAATTTACCTCCTCCCAGAAGAGCTGAAAACACTAGATACTTTCCAAGGCTCCTTCCATTCTTCTGTTGCAGCTAGAGCATGGGCATGTGATGCAACCCAATCCTAGCCAATGAACAAGAGAGGAAGTCTGCTGAGAGTTTGGGGGTGTATTAGCCCATTCTTGCACTGCAATAAAAAATACTTGAAACTGGGTAATTTATAGAGGAAAGAGGTTTAATTGGCTCACAGTTCCACAGGCTGTACAGGAAGCATTGCTGAGAAGGCCTCAGGAAATTTACAATCATGGCAGAAGGTGAAGGGGAAGCATGCACGTCTTACGTGGCTGCAACAGGAGTAAGAAAGATGGGGGAGGTCCTCCACACTTTTAAACAACCACATATCATGAGAACTCTATCAGGAGAACAGCACCAAAGGGGGAAATCCACTCCCATGATCCAATTGTCTCCCACCCGGCCCCTCCTGCATTGGGGATTACAATTAACATAAGATTTGGGTGGGGACACAGATTCGAACCATATCAGCAGGACTTCTAAGAAAGGTTGAATTCCTTAATAAAAAGAGTAATAGATGAAATGCTCCATTTCTTCTTGGGTCGATAAAAGTCACATCTATATGTGAGGTCAGGAGTAGTCAATTGCAAGTATGAGGGCATGAGCCTAAGGTCCAAGCCATGACACCAAGAAAGTCTGAGTCACGACACCAAGAAAGTCTGAGCCATGAAACCAAGAAAGTCTGAGCCATAACACCAGAGATCATATCCCAGAAAGATGGGACGAGCTTCAGTCCTTGAACACATCCACAAGCCACTGAACGAACCTGAGAACTGTCTGCCTGGACTTCAAGTCATGTAGGAAAATAAATGTCCTCATTGTTTAAGCCACTTTTGGAAGGTTTTCTTTACTTCCATTTGAAAACATTCTAATATACATGTGGCTTTTACAGGAATCGGGACTGTTGCAATCCTAGTAAGTTGTGTAGTAGTTTCTCTAACTAGAGTCAAACATGACAGAGTCACCAGAGCATGAAAGTTTAGAGCTGAATGAACCTTAGAGCTCATTTTATACATGAGGAAACTAACGACATAAGGTTAAATGATTGATTCATTCTAGTTCTTGCATCTTTTCTCTCCCACCCAGGTCCTGGGAAGTTTATTGGCTAAAGTTCACACTTCAAGCTGCCCAGTGCTTCCCAAGGCAGACCACAACTTCTGAACCAAAAGAGACCAGGAAAATCGCCTGGACTTGCTAAATATCATTGAATGGAATTCCATAGGTGGTCATTCAATGATGTTCTCTCCTGAACACACATTTTCTAGAAAAATCTTAATCTATAATTCAGGACATTCCTCAAGCTCCTGGGGAATTGCGGAAATAGAAAAAAAAAGTAGCCACTGTCCTTTTTCATACTGTCCAAGAGTGAACATATGAAACGTTATTCAGTCTAATTCTCTGCTGCGTGAGCTGAAAGGAATCATGGGCTAGGAAATCCAGGAATAGTGATAGTCATCACAATATTGATGTGAATTTTACAAATTAGAAACTACAAACACACACACACAAACACACACACACATATACATTTTTTAATCTTCTACTCAGCATTACCTTGTAATACAGGCAAGAAATATTACTTTTGCTAACGTAGAGAGAGAAAAAAAATAACTGAGGCTCAAATTGTTAAAGACCAACGTGATCTGGTAAGCCCAGTTTTTCACTTTGATTAGTGGCTTCCTGTTTACTTTCTAACAAAAGTATAGCTATTTTATTTTAGAAGAGCCTAATAACATTCCTTGACTGGAACTAAAAAAAAAAAGAAAAAATGCTAGCAACGATTTCAGCCTCCTCCCTAAAAACAAATCAAGGGAAACTCAATGTTCCTTTTTTGTGCCTGGAAGGAGATGCTGTTTAGTTAAGCTCAGCTCTCAACCACGGACAAGGGTGAGCAATGGGCTGGCCATGATTCAATATAATCTGTCTTCCTCTAACCTAAGTGCTCTTATAAACAATACAAATTAATGTTCTACTTCATAAGATAGATGCCCGTAAAGTGCTTGTTATTATGGAAATGTTTCATGCGTGACCATCAGCAATGTCAAGACATGAGAGATTATGTTCCCAAGAAGGCGTTATTAGTTTGAGTTTAATTTGGTTTATTGGGCAGTACACTTAAAGCACAGGAGAAATGATTATTGCCAGTAACAATAACAATGATGATAGCTGGCATGTTTCTGCCCCTTAGGCAACAATTCTGGTATGAAACCTGGTTCTTCTTGATTTCTTCATTGCCCAAGCACTTAGGGCTCAAATAGGCCAGGAACAATTTTATCGAATGCCTACTACAATCAAGGTACTTTCCTAGGCACTGTTGGCATTTATTGAGTGCCTTCTGTGTCCAAGAATCTTTATTATCATTATTTCTAAATTCCCAACAATCTGTCCTGGCGCCTATGATTATCTGCCTTTTGCAAATGGTAAAAGAAACTAAAAGAATTTAGGAGCCTGTCCTCCTAGAACATATACTCTTCAGCTCACATGTCTCAAAAGGCATAAGACTATCAACTAATACAATTGGAAAACTTGCTTTAACATCATGACATTACCAATTGAACAGCCCCACTTCGAAAATAAATTAAATTGACATATTAATCTGTTGCTTTCTGTAACAGGGTTTTATTTTAACATGCCTTAAAAACTGCTTCTGTGTAATGTAATCCCAGCACTTTAGGTGGTCAAAGCAAGAGGATCACTTGAGCCCAGGAGTTTAAGGCCAGCTTGGGAAACATGGTGAGACCCCGTCTCTTCAAATCTTACGTTTTGTTTTTTTTTTTTGAGACAGATTTTTGCTTTTGTTGTCCATACTGGAGTGCAATGACATGACCCCAGCTCACTGGAACCTCCACTTCCAGGTTCAAGTGATTCTGCTGCCTCAGCCTCTCGAGTAGCTGGAATTACAGGCGTGCGACACCATGCTGAGCCAAATTTTTTTTTTTTTTTTTTTTTTTTGGTAATTTTGTAGAGACAGGGTTTCACCATGTTCGCCAGGCTGGTCTCCTACTCCTGACCTCAAGTGATCCACCCACCTTGGCCTCCCAAAGTGCTGGGATTGTAGGTGTGAGCCACCGCGCCCAGCTGCCACACACTTTTAAACAACCAGATCTTGCAGAAGCTAACTGAGCAAGAACTCACTCATTACTGCAAGAACATCACCAAGCCATTCATGAGGGATCCGCCTCCAGGACCTAAACGCCTCCCCCCAGGCCCCACCTCCAACACTGGGAATTACATTTTAACATGATATTTGGAAGGGACAAACATCTAAACCATATCAGCCCCCTATGACCTTTGAGTTTTAAATAATCTTGGCTATTCTAACACTTTCAGAGGAATGAGACGCACAGCTCTTACGATTCTCTCTTTGAAGCCACATATTTCCCTGAAATGCTTCATGGACATTCGTCTGACCCTGCTTAATAGCATGTATCATGTTAAATCATTCTATTTTTATTTGTGTGACTACTTAATGTATGCATTTCATCTACATGGTCAGCTCCCTGTGGGCAAGAATCCCAGTGTTTTGCATCCCAGTGAGTTCCCAGAGTTGACGAGGGCCTCACCATTTAGGAGTGTGTGGATGAATGAATGGCAGAACCAACAGCTTATTGCATGTTACAGTTTGTGAAAATTCTTTCAACATCTTGTTTTCAAAGGTCCCTTATAATGAATATAGAAGGTATGTAGAGTAAGGGTCATTTTACAGGGCAAGAAACTGTGGCACAGGGCAATTGGTAAAAAAAAAAAAAAAAAAAAAAATCCTAAAGCTGGTAAAGGGTGGATTTAAGACTCAAATCCAGACCTTCTCTCTCTCTGTCTCTCCCTACCTTGTCTTTTTAGTATTTTCCCTACTTTAGACCTTATACACACAGGCACTTTTCCTGTACCCAAACTACCTAACCAAAGAAGCAAGGTTTCAGCTGGTCATTTCTTGAATGATCACAGAACAGGCCCAAATGGTATGCAGGGCTTTGATTCAAGTGGTCCCGAACTCAGCTGGGAGAAGTGTTCTCATCACGGATGACACAGAGTATAGAGCTGAGAGCGCAGGCCTGAACACGTCCTGTTCAACCCTCAAGATCTGTGTAGCATGAACGCATCAGGGGAAACAACACACACTGGGGCCTGTGGGGAGTGGGGGGAGGGAGAGCATCAGGAAGAAGAGCTGATGGATGCGGCGCTTAATAACTGGGTGATGGGTTGATCTGTGCAGCTAACCACCATGGCACACATTTACCTATATAACAAACCTGCACATCCTGTACATGTACCCAGGAACTTAAAATAAAATTTAAAGAAACAAATATAAAATAAAATAAAATGGTCTGTGTAGCATAGGCTTGGTGAGCCTTGCATTTGCAGGGTAGCTGAAATGGGTCAGGGTCCTCAAGTTTACTCTTGGGGAAACTGAGCAGGGGCACACTGCGAAAACATACCAGCTTTTTTTTTGTTTATGTCCCAGGTGTATGACTCAAACTGTTAGATGCTACCTAACAGAATCTAATAGCGTCTATTAATTGCACCAAGCTGCCCTACCTTGCTAAGATGGAGCTGGAACATGGGATCTTTCTGAAGTATCTATACAGTATCACATGCCAGTCAGATGCCTTATTCACACTGGCCTTTAATTTTCTCATCTTGATTTTTCACGTCTCAGTGTCTGCCCTGTAATCTATGCCATCTACTCGTGGTATCTACCTCTGAGCTTTGTGGCTGCTTGCCCCTCAGTACTGCACCAATCTCCATGTAATGATTTCAAAGATGCAATGTAAAAATGCAAAATAAGCTTATTTCTCCTCCCTTGAGAATGTGAACTCAGCCCTCTGTTCCTTTGCTTTTGCTATCTGTTATTTCCCCGAGAATGGCCACATTCTCTTGCTCTCCTTTTCTCCCATCTCCGTAACTGCCCCAGCCTCACTGAGAGCCTCCTTCCCTAAGACCCTATGGGCATCGCTGAGCTGGTAGAAGTGCAGTGTGGTGCCCTTGGAGCACACCAGCCTTGGAGTCCTAGGATCTGAGTTTGGATTCTGTCTCAGTCACTGTTAAACTGTGTGACCACTGGCAGGCTGTGGGCCCCTGCTTTCTTTTGGATGTTTGTCACCAAACCTCATGTTGAAATTTCATCCTCAAGGTTGGAGGCGGGGCCTAATGGGAGGTGATTGGGTCATAGAGGTGGATCCCTCATGAATAGATGAATGCCCTCCCTTAGGGGTGATTGAGTTCTTGCTCTATTCATTCCTGCATGAACTGGTTGTTAAAAGAGCCTGGCCATTCCCCACCACTCTTGCTTCCTCTCTCACCACATGATTTTTGCACACACAGGCTCCCCTTCGCCTTCCACGATGAGTGGGAGATTCCTGAGACCCTCATCAGAAGCAAATGTTGACACCATGCTTCTTGTCTGCAGAAACACGAACCAATCTTCTTTGCTTTATAAATTATCCGGCCTCAGGTATTCCTTTATAACAACACAAATGGACTAAGACAAGCCCTTTAGGCCTCAGTTTCCACATCTCATGCATAATAACAAGGCTTATTTATGTTTTGGGAGTAGTAGAAATAATGTATGCAAAAGGACCACTGAACAAGTAGTGACAGTCATTACTAATTAGTAACTGTGTTAAATGATACATTAGTTATTTCCATCCTCTTGCAACCTCCCTGAGAGAATGCAGGTTCTAGTGGATGGGGTCCCTGTCTTGTGCTTCAAGCAAGATGTGCTTCAGCAAACAACTCCCTGGCTGCAATTTCCAAGATCTGGACTGTTTTCCCAAAATTATTCTTCCTGTCTTTTTTTAGGTATCTATTTTTTTTCTTACTTGAAATGCTATTTGGCATTCTACAAAGCATTCAAATGAGGAATTCTGAGTGCATCTCCAAGATCCACCTGCACTTCCTCATTCAGCCCCTTTATAACTAATGTTTGTGCCAGAGGCCATCTCGAGTCTGTGGCCATAGGTGTGTGGCATTTAGTGACCTTCGAGAAGCTCAAAACAATGATCTAAGGACAGACAAGACGTTAAAAGACAACCCACGGAATGGGAGAAAATATTTGCAAATCATATATCTGATAAGCGTCCAGTCTCCAGAATGTATAAAGAACAACTCAGCGATAAAGACAAGCAATCCAATTGTAAACTGGGCAAAGGATTTAAATAAACATTTCCCCAAAGAAGATGTACAGATTCCAATGAGCACGTGAAAAGATTCTCAGCATCATTAGTCACTAGGGAAATGGAAATCAAAATCACAGTAAGTTTCCATTTCACATCACTAGGATGGCTATAATTTCAAAAGAAAAAAGCAAAATTAACAAGTGATGGCAAGAAAGTTATCAGAATCCCCCTACATCGCTGGTATGAATATAAAATAGTGCAATCATTGTGAGAAAAATCTTGGCAGTTTCTCAAAATGCTAAACATAGATTTACCATATGACCCAGCAATTCTACTCCTAGGTATACACCCAAGAGAACTGAAAACACATCTTCACACAAGAACTTGTACAGGGATGTCCACAGCAGCATTATTCATCATAGGCAAAAAGTAGAAACAACCAGATGTCCACTGACTGCTGAATGAATAAATAAAATGTAGTGTATACATACAATGGAATAAAAAGAAACAAAGTACTCCTCCATGCTGAAACACAGATGAATCTTGAAAAAATTATTCTAAGTGAAAGCAGCCAGACATAAAAGACCATGTATTATATGATTACATTTATATAAAGTGGCAAGAATAGGCAAATCCATAGAAGTACATTAGTGGTGGCCAGAGACTAGGAGGAGGAAGTTTGGGAGTGACTGCCAATGGTGTGGAGTTTCTTTGGGGAAGGCTAGAAATCTTCAAGAATGAGAGTGTGAGGGTTGCGCAGCATTGTGAGTACACTAAAACCACCTTGATGCACACTTACAAATGTGAAAAGTATAAAACCATACACTGCGGATTTTATGTTATATAAATTTTATATCAATAAAAGTAACGTGGCAGGGCACCGTGGCTCATGCCTGTAATCCCAGCACTTTGGGAGACCAAGACAGGTGGATCACTTGGGGTCAGGAGTTCGAGACCAGCCTGCCCAACATGGTGAAACCGTGTCTCTACTAAAAATACAAAAATTAGCTGGGCGTGGTGGTGCACACCTGTAGTCCCAGCTACTGGGGTGGCTGAGGCAGGAGAATCGCTTGAACTCGAGAGGCAGAAGATCGCACCATTGCACTCCAGCCTGGGTGACAGAGCAAGACTCCATCTCAACAAAAAGAAAAAAAGGTAATTACAAAATACAAACAAAGAAGGCTTAGCCCCATTATCACCAAGTACCCTCTAAACTAACCATCTTAACTAACTTAACCAGAACAGAACCGAGCTCTATGGAGACAGCTGTTCAGAAAAGGCAGAATTTTAGCCTCTTTCCTTTGTGAAGTAAGTATGAGTTCACAGGAGGCTCTTCCCACGTATTGACTACCTTTCTCCAGTGCTGTACCACGTACGGATGGACAATAAAAATGCCACTAACCTCTCCTCTATATTTTTTCCAGGGATAATTCTGATACAAAAAAAAAAAAAGCATTGTTGGTAGCATGCATTGGGTGTTCAATAAATGTCACCAGTCAGGAATAAATGTCACCAGTCAAGAATAATCATGAAGGAAAGACAGGAAAGTGGGTGCCTTGAGGAGGCTCTGGAAAAGAGATAAGGTGAGACGTTTGCTTCTTTGTATCTTGTGTTAGTTCCTTTCCAAGATGCAAATCCTCCCCATCATATGCTCGCTAAAAGCCCTGCTCCATGTTAGAAACAGCCCTCAAAGTTTACCTGAGCCCAAGGCCGCATGGGTGGAGTTGGCGCCTGGTTGCCCCGGCCAACTCCGGGGCTTCTCGGAAAGGGGAGAGCCTCCTCACATCCCACATCGCCCAAGGACCTGAGATGGCCCCCTCTAGGGAGGACTGTTCTCCTGGGAGGAAGGAACCGCTTGTCGAGAGGGAAGGAAGTGAGGAGTGAATTTGTCAGGGGAGGGAGCTTGATGACACCGTATTCCAAGAGAAAGCAGTGGCATTAAAGGCACTGGAGGTGTTGCACAGGGAGTTTAAGACTTCTGAGGGCAGCCGTCACCTACCCCACAATTCTGCCTCAGCCTGGCCCTGCGCATCATCTCCTAAGGGGAGGTGGCCTCGGGCTCCAGAAATAAATAGCACGGTCCCGGCACTCTCTACTTTAAACTCTCCACTCCGGCCACGGTGAGCAGCCCCTCACGCCCCACCCGTGACTCTTTCTTCACCTCCGTTCCTGTGTGACCTCAAACAAGTCCTCAGTGTCTTACCCTCGGTTTCTTCTTCTCCCCAGTGGGGCTAATAGCACTGGCCCAGAGGCCATGTAGTGGAGAACTTCCAATCTCCCAGCACACCACCTGGGGGACGGTGCATCCTCCTGGAAAGTGAACCACACACACAGCTCCACTGGAAACAGGAGACTTCCGCCAAACATGAGACAAGGGGCCTGGAATATTTCAGTTGTGTCCTATTAGGTGCTCCGCTAACATTCTGCTTTCTCTTCTGAGCCGTCAATACGCTGGTAAGTATTCACTTACAGCCTATGCTCCCCAACGGACTACAAAATCCAGCAGGTGCCACGGAACTCACGGTCACTGCTCCATTCCCAGCCCCAGCACGGGTGGAAGATGCCCCCTACACATTTCAAGCCGACTAATCACAGGGGAAGAAACACGGCTTGTTTTAACCGCTTTCTACGGGCTTCTTATGCCTTCAGTCTGCGCGTTCCTGCAGAGTCACCTCTGAAGGGGGAACCAGATTATCCAAAGCTTCTGGCTCTCATACCAGGTGGGCTTATGTAAACTGTCTCAGGGTCCTCATTCGTAAATAAAGGACTTAAACTACGTGGTCTCTGAAGTCTTCCTTCAGTTCCCCCATGGGAAGCCACAGGCTAGGTTTTCAAAGTCACTCACGGCTCCTTAATTCATTTGAAGCAATTGCATCCAGCATCAGGGCTGGACTGTGGATGACCGGCAAGACAATAGAGCAGAGATTTAGGAAAGGAAGGATGATTTAGATATTCCCATGGTGGGAAAAATAGTAACTGAGCAAATAAGAAGACTAAAGTTCTCTACTGACAGAGAAAAGATGAAATGGGGGTGATTTCCCACATTTCCAAATAAGAGGTGAGCAGACATGGAGGTCTGCTGCCAGTGCCTCCGGGAGCCCAGCTCCTCCAGCGGGGTTCTCTCCAGATCCTTGCAGACCCCAAACAGAGAGATGATGGGGCCTGCAGACCTTGCCTGGCTGTCAGAAATTTTCCACCCGCTGAAGAGGTGGCTGGCAGTGGTCTACGCTCTGCGTGTGGCCTTCCTAAATTAACGAACATATTCACACTAACACTCACATACATTCACACACACACACTGACATACACACCACTCACACATTCACACATTCATTTAGACACACACACACCCACACTCATATACATTCACACACACACCACTCACACCCAATTCACATAGACACACTCACTCACACTCACAATCACACTCACATACACACCAGACTCACAGTCTCACACTCACATATACACACGACTCACACTCACAGACATACAAACACACTCATACACTCACAATCACACTAGCATACACACACACCACTCACACTCACATAGTCATACTCACAAACACACTCATACACTATCACACTTGCATACAGGTCCAACACTCACACTCATACACTCAAATATATCCACATACACACGCCACTTACACACACACACACCACTCACACTCACATACACAATCACATGCACACCACTCACACACAGTCATACACAGTCACAATCACACTCACATGCTAACATTCATAGTCACACCACTCACACAATCACACATATTCACAACACTCATCCACACTCACACACACTCACACTCAGACACTCTCACACTCTGATGTTTGTAGACTTCTCAAACATGCCGTTGGTTTTTGAAGGGAAATAAGTTGTAGACTTTTTCATTGTTTTGCATTAAAGACCCAGTGCTCTCATCGGCTTATTTAACAGGCACCAGCAGGATTGTGTCTCAAATGGAATGAGGGTAGGTGCTTTAGGCACCCTCCACAAGGGACTGTCTTCTTCATCTCAGCCTTGCCAAACACAGAGGAAATGAAGGGAGGTCCTTGGTTAGTGAGCTGCAAATCGAGACATCGTACCCCGTGCCAGGCTTTGCAAAACCTGTTAGTTCTTAGGGAATGGTGGACAATCACACAATATTCTTCACAAGGACATATGAAATATTTTCTGAAAACCTATTAGTTCATAGGGAATGGTGGACAGTCATACAATATTCTTCACAAGGACATATGAAATGTTTTCTGAAGAACTAAGGATGAAGTTATATGAGCGTAAGTTCCAAGCTAAATGCAAAAAGCAAACGTTTTAAGGTAAAAACATGGCAAAAAGAAATGAGAGGCCAGGCACAGTGGCTCACGCATGGGCACGGTGGCTCACACCTGTAATCCCGGCACTTTGGGAGGCCAAGGCGGGTGGACTGCCTGAGATCAAGAGCTCAAGACCAGCCAGGCCAACATGGTAAAACCCAGTCTCTACTAAAAATACAAAAATTAGCCAGGCGTGATGGCTCATGCCTGTAATCCCAGCTACTCGGGGGGCTGAGGCAGGAAAATCGCTTGAACTAGGAGGCGGAGGTTGCAGTGAGCCAAGATCGCACCATTGCACTACAGCCTAGGCGACAGAGCAAAACTCCATCTCAAATAAATAAGTAAACAAATAAATGAGGATAAAGTAGCATCTAGGTTAGAGAATGAGCATGGACAAAACTGTGATATGACCACATTTTCTCTGAGGCCTCCCCCTCTCTGACTTCACCCTGGTTCTTCTCAATATTTCTGGGTTATCCAGTGCACTTTCCAGCTGGCCTGCACCCTCCACCAGGTCAGGAGCTCACCCTCTCTATTCTTTACTTCCTTTTTTTAACTTCTTGCTAGGTGGTTTGGACACTGGCTCGGGAACTAAACACCATCCATGTATCCCACCCAGCCCAGGAGATGGTCCTTTCCAGGCAATGCCATTGCTGGCACATGAAGGGCAGGAATCATGCTGGTCTCAGCCATCATCCAATCTTTAACACCCAAATATTTCACATATAATCATCACTCAAAGTACATCTTTATTTAAAATTATTTAAAAGTTCTCCAAAACTTGTGAACTTTTTTGGATCTACATCTTTGCCTGCTGGTTTTGGAGTTAAATTTCTATCCTCCAAAATTCCTGAGTCAAGGGTATACACGTATGAAATTTTTAAGCATATTGTTCATACACCTCCAAATTGTTTGTGCTAATTTACACTCCCACCCAGCGTCCATGGAAGCCTCTCTCCTCCTTGCCTAAAAACTCTTCGGGAAACACAGCTGTTCTTTCTTTTGTCAACTCACTCTTTTTGGCTCTCTCTGACCAAAAAAATAAAAGATTCCACAGAGTTTTTCCATCAAAACTTTTGGCAATTACTAACTATTACAATAATTAAAATTCTTCTTGGATAGAAATCTCTCTTTGCTCCTGGGAGAGGATACAAAAAGAGTCAAACAAAATAGTTTTTTTTTTTTTTTTCTCAGAGGGCTCTCTAATGCATTCTCATAAATAATTAGTGGCATCATCTTGTCGGGTTACTCATCTCTTCTATCATGGTGATGCTGGGTGATCCATGGTCCTCATTCGCTACCCATAGCCAGCATGGAAAGCATTAAGAGGAACAGAACACTAGAATGATTATTTATTTCCACAGCTCTCTAAACTGAACAGTGGGGCACAGTGGCTCACACCTGTAATCCCAGCACTTTGGGGCCGAGGCAGGCGGTTCATTTGAGGTCGGGAGTTCAAGACCAGCCTGGCCAACATGCTGAAACCCCATCTCTACTAAAAAATATAAAGATTAGCCAGGCGTGGTGGTGGGTATCAGTAGTCCCAGCTACTCGGGAGGCTGAGGCAGGGAGAATTGCTTGAACCTGGGAGGCAGAGGTTGCAGTGAGCCGAGATCACACCACTGCACTCCAGCCTGGACAACAGAGTAAGATTCCACCTCAAAAACAAACAAACAAATGTTTCATAATTTAAAATGCAAGAGACTGAGAACAAGATGGGCTTTGAAGTAACTGAGTTCACATGAACCAGAGGTTTTATTATAAACCAGACAGTACTCAGCTGACCAGGGAAAGCCAGTTGTTTCAAGCAATGACTATGATGATACTCAATGATGTTTTTTTGTTTGTTTGTTTGTTTTCACTGTTGTTTTTTGAGACAGAGTCTCTCTCTGTTCCCCAGGCTGGAGTGCAGTGATGCCATCTCAGCTCACTGCAAACTCCACCTCCTGGGTTCAAGTGATTCTCCTGCCTCAGCCTCCCGAGTAGCTGGGACTACAGGCGCGTGCCACCACACCTGGCTAATCTTTTGTATTTTTAGTAGAGACGGGGTTTCACCATGTTAGCCAGGATGGTCTCGATCTCCCGACCTCAGGTGATCTGCCTGCCTCGACCTCCCAAGTGCTGGGATTTTGGGCGTGAGCCACCGTGCCTAGCCAATGATGTTTTTATTTCCAATGTATTTTTAGTCACCGATGTTGAGGATGGTGATTTAAAAGACACTCCACATCTCATAAGGAAATGCACACGGAATAATTATTATGAAGCGACATGCAGGTGACATAAACGCACCATTCTGCAGTTCAACTGGAGCTGAATAAAATAACAAATATCGTGACTGATTCTGTCCACACTACTTGATCTTAGGCAGATCCTCTGCAAGGCTGAAGAACTGCTGTGCAAGAGGAAAAGAAAAACCCTGTGCATTTGGGCTTTACTAACAACTAATAACATCTGGACTTTGCAAGCATCCGTGGGACAAACTGAATTAGGCCAGCAATTTATGGATAGTTTATTATGGATAGTTTAGTCTCTGAATTTGGAGACAGTGACTGTTTCAGTGTGAAAGTAGCTATCTTCATTAAATTGTATTTCAGCTTAAAAGTAACATTTTCACTATCATGTCAGATACTCTAGAACACAGTATGCCCAAGCCTACCTTTATCTCCGTAAAGAGAACCTGGGGACTCCTAGAGGGTTCTTGAATGAGCAAGTAATGGCTTGTTGTGTTTGTATGACAGTATGTGATGGGCAGTGCCTTCGACTGTCTCAGCTCTTCTTTGTAAACGTCTCGTGGGTTTTTCCCCCAAGATACAACCAAGTGAGTAAATATTTTTATTAATCTTTGGAAAAAAGATCTGATTCATGCAGCTTATGGCTTCAATCCAAAGTTAGGACAATTCTTGGTGTAAGAGCCTTGGGATGACTGCTGAGTTTTGGGAAGAGTCAGGGAGAAAAGGAACTCTCTAGGAGAGAGTCTGTTTAGCTCTGAGGTTAAAACTCTAATCATTTGCTACTGTGCACTGCAGCCATAAATGAAGAAATGAGAAATATCATCCTAGAGCCAATATGACTTCTGCTGCCAAATATTGGGAAAGGCTTCTTGATGAAGAGGAAATACATCTGTGCACGCTGAAAAGGCAAAACAGTAGCCCATGGGTTGGAGTCACTCCTGGGAAGGCAGCTTTTAGCTCAGTGTGAGTAAGGTTTTCATAGCAATTAGAGCTGGGACAATAAACACTCCATCAAAGAAAAGATTCAATAAAGTTAAGGCTACTGCTTTAATAAATAACCCCTTATATTATTCCGTTCTCACACTGCTAGTAAAGACATACCCGAGACTGGATAATTTATCAAGGAAAGAGGTTTAACTGACTTACAATTCAGCATGGCTGGGGAAGGCCTCAGGAAACTTATAATCAAGGTGCGAGAGGAAGCAAACACATCCTTCACATCGCAGCAGCCAGGAGAAGTGCTAAGCACAGGGTGGAAAGCCTCTTATAAAACCATCAGATCTCGTGAGAACTGACTCACTATCACCAGAACAGCTGGAGGTAACTGCTCTCATGATTCAATTACTTCCACCTGGTTCCACCCTTGACACGTGGGGATTGTTACAATTCAAGATGAGATTTAGGGTGGGGACACAGAGCCCAACCATATCACCCATAAATTTCAACGGCTTCACACAACGGAAGTTTCTCTCTTGCTCACATAATGGCCTGATGCTGGCATTCCTGGTCAGCTCATTCCTTCTTCCAGGTGGTGACTCAGGATCCCAGGCTTTTGCATCTTGCAGCACTGGCCACCCTCTCTGGAGTCCTCTGCTTCTAGCTGGTGGAAAAGAACTAAGTGGAGATTTTCAGGCCCATTCACAGTAATCACTCAGCCTGTGTGCATTTCCTTATGAGCTGCAGAGTGCTTTTTTAGTCATCATCATCATCATCAACAGAGGTGACTAAAAATACCTTGGAAATGCAAGCATCATTGAGCAGCATCATAGTCATTGTTCAAAACAGCTGTCTTTCTCTGGTCAAGTGAGTGCTCTCTGGTTTTTAATAAAACCTCTGGTTAATATGAACTCAGTTACTTCAAAGCCCATTTGTTCCCGGTCTCTTGCATTTTAAATTATGAGGATTTACTGTATGTGCAAATGCTTTGTAGAGATCCTGGCCGTGAGTTCTGTGCATATCCACTAGCAAGAGCTAATCATGTGGCAACATCTGGATCTACAGGATCGGGGCATGTATGAGGTGTAGTCTCAGCTGGGCTACATGAAATCTATGGTCCCTTCCAACTTTGAGAGCTAACTAATTCAACCGACACAGAATGAGCACCTACTTCATGCATGACTCATTGTGTCAAGGAATACAAAAAAATGAAAAATGCACAGAAACTGTCACCTGAAAGCTTACATCTTAGACGGGAAAGCAGGACAAACTCAATGACATTACACAACAAAATATATGAGTTATAAAATGCTACGGGAATTTAGCAGAGAACGAAGTCACCTGAAAAGAATTTAATGGAGTTAATGTCCTCAGCAGGATGGGCTTTGAAGGAAGGGGTAGGATTTCAATGTGTGGAGATGAGGGAAGGTCTAGAAGGCAAATAACTGGCATAGATAAAAGATGATTGGATTCCCAATAATCCAAGGAATTGCTCCAGGAATTGCTGTTAGTACTGACCCTTCATATCTATGGGTCCCACATCCGTGGATTCAACAAACCATGGATCAAAAATACTTGGAAAAAAATTGCATCTGTACTGAACACGTAGACTTTTTTATTGTTATTCCCTAAACAATACCGTATAACGACTATTTACATAGCACTTGCATTGTATTAGGTATTATAAGTAATCTAGAGAAGATTTAAAGTATATGGGAGGGTGTACATAGGTTATATGTCCATACTATGCCATTTTATAGCAGGCACTTGAGCATCTACAGATTTTGATATCCACAGGGGACCTGGAACTCATCCCCCAGATACCAAGGGACCACTGTAGTTTTCTTTAATTTTTATTTCAAGTTTGGGGGTACATGTGCAGGTTTGTTACATAGGTAAACTCGTGTCATGGGGGGTTGTTGTACAGATTATTTTGTCACCCAGCTACTAAGCCCAGTACCCAATAGTTATCTTTTCTGCTCCTCTCCCTCCTCCCACCTTCCCCCATCAAGTAGACCTCAGTGTCTGTTGTTCCCTTCTTTTTGTTCATGAGTTCTCATCATTTAGCTCCCACTTATAAGTGAGAACATGCAGTATTTGGTTTTCTGTTCCTGCATTAGTTTGCTAAGGATACTAGCCTCCAGCTCCATCCACATTCACCCAAAAGACATGATCTTGTTCTTTTTTATGGCTGCATAGTATTCCATGGTGTATATGTACCACATTTTCTTTATCCAATCTGTCATTGATGAGCATTTAGGTTGTTTCCAAGTCTTTGCTATTGTGAATAGTGCTTCAGTGAACATACGTGTGCATGTGTCTATATGGTAGAATGATTTATATTCCTCTGTGTATCTAGGCAGTAGTGGGATTTCTGGTTGAATGGTATTTCTGTTTTCAATTATTTGAGGAATTGCCACACTTCTTTCCACAATGGTTGAACTAATTTACATTCCCACCAACAGTGTATAAGTGTTCGTTTTTCTCCACAACCTCATCAATATCTGTTATTTTTTGACTTTTTAAAATAGCCATTCTGACTACTGTGAGATGGTATCTCATTGTGGTTTTGATTTACATTTCTTTAATGATTTACATTTCTCTAACGAATATCAAATGAATATCAAAGTGTGATATTGAGAATTTTTTCATATGCTTGTTGGCCACATGTGTCTGTTCATGTCTTTTGCCTACTTTTTAATGGGGTTGTTTCTCGTAAATTTTTTTAAATTCCTTTTAGATGCTGGATATTAGACCTTTGTCAGAGACATAGTTTGCAAATATTTTCTCCCATTCTGTAGGTTGTCTGTTTACTCCGTTGATAGCTTCTTTTGCTGTGCTCTTTGTTTTTTTTAAGCCTATCTTAATATATTTTCTTAGTATAAATGAATAAATGCCTTAATCAATATTAGCATAGAGAACACTCAATAAATGGTAGCCACTAGTAGCTTTAGGTGTAGAAGTATTTAAAATTAAGGATTTGCTTGTTGATTTCACATGTACATAATGTAATCATACCTGGGGGCCATTAAGCTCTTTTAAATTCTCTTGATATTCAGGAAAAACACATTTATATACCCATACTAACTCAATTTAGATGTGTTAACAAAAAAAGAAGAAAAGTGAATTTCCCTCCAAGTACTATAAATGGAGCCATTGCTTCCCCTGAATTACTGGGAGAGTCAGCCTGATTCTTGGCCTGGTTGTGTTACTAGAGGCCAGATGCCAGAGTCACAGAATAGGTCACTTGGCCTTGATATACCTTGTTCATTCCCTTGATAAATGGAAATCACAGCCAGCATCACCTACGACAGAATGAGACAATGTCTGTAAGGCATACTCTACTCCGTGCTAGACCCAGCCCAGCCCCATGCCCACAGAAGATGACAAACAAATATTTCAAACCTATCTGAGTTCACTGGTACAGGTTAAATCTGAAAGGAAGCCTCATAGAGATTTTTCTTATTTAGTTCATCTGGTGTCAGTTCAAGGTTCCACACTGTCCTTTATAGATGGATTCGCCCTATAGAGTTGGGGGATCACTGAGCTTGCTCCGCGATTTCTGGTCTTCCCATAATCGCTCAGGGGCTTTAAATCATTAGCTGATCTTAACAATTAAGGATGAGGGAAAAATTTCAAAGCCTCGCAAACACCCACCCAAGAAGAAACCACAGGAAGTTAGAATGAAATGTTCATTTTCAGGCTAACCAGGAATTTGCAGTGCCAGGCAGAGAATTAACAAGCAATCAATCGGCCAGAGTTGGAACACATTATTTGCGAACCAA
This sequence comes from Homo sapiens, assembly GCF_000001405.40. Taxonomy (NCBI): domain Eukaryota; kingdom Metazoa; phylum Chordata; class Mammalia; order Primates; family Hominidae; genus Homo; species Homo sapiens. Next base: position 7,106,174 of record NC_000010.11, read on the forward strand.
TTTGAATTTGATGAGGCTGGGTGGATAATTTTGAATGAAATTGGACCTGAATATTTCTAGAACTTAAATGTTTCAGCAAATGTGGTTGCTCAGATGTTTATGAAAAAAAATATGGGACATGGGTCTTACTTCCTGTTACAATCCATGACTATCTGAAGTATGCAATAGGCTAACGAGTGAAGGAGAAAAGTGTGAGAAAAGAGAAATAGATTTTTATTTCATAATAACAAAGAGGAAAACGAAGGTTGGTAGACCTATGGTCAAAATTAGGAGACTGAGATAATCACTCACAAAATGTGTGTGAAGCCCTCAGTTAATGCCAGTTTTTAGTAATAGTACTAAGCTCCAGGAAAAAGGGCTCACTTATTTTTCTCCCTACGCATAAAACCACACAGGTAGAAGAAGTGAGCAGAAAGAGCAGAGCCTATTGGAAAAATAAATTAAATTTCAATTATGTATTTTATATATAACAAATGAATGCAAAAATATACCTGCATGTTTATTGCTATACAAACATACAATATATAAAGAATGTAAATGTATAAAACTATAAATATAATCTATACATATATATCTATGTATATTATCTGTTTGATAAATTTAATTTACATATGTATTCTATATGTAAAATATTTATATATCTCTCTGTGTGTGTTTGTATTTTTAAGGAACATAAATGAGTCACAAGAGGAGTTTGAAGCCTAATTTAGCCATTTGTTTGCAAAAATGTTGCATGATCAATGTCAAATATCTTCTAGTAGGGGCCAATGCTACTTTACAAAACCGTAACTCATTCTATCTGAGCTCCCTTTGGATTCCCCGCTGAGAGGACAGAGGCTGGCCCCTAGTGCCTCCTCTCTAGTGATTCCAGTCAAGGATGTGGGATAGTGGGAAGGTCTTCCCCATGCCCCAAAGCGAGGAACAAACGTGGAGAATACATTTATCTGTGTATTGATTTGTAATACATAAGTCTTCTGAAGTTAGAAGAAGACACTAAGTGCAGATTCTTAATGGAATCCCCAGAATAAATTATGAAGGGCATTTCCTGAAAGCAGCACAGATCAGAGTTCATGTAGCTTCCACGTCCATGAATCCTCTCTGTTTGTGTTTGCAGTAGAAAGAGTGGCTTGGGTTTTTCCAAAGCTGCATGATGCTGGTTCACGTTCCCAGCAATGTGAAAGACTAGTGTTAAGGAGGGAGATAAATGGCTCAGGCTTGGGAGGCCTGGTCTCCTTCACTCCCCTAAGATCTCACCCACCACATTTTCCACTTACTCAGGGCAGCTTCAATGTTCCAGGAAATCTCCACCCAGCCAAATACTAAGCCACCGAGTCACATCCCACACACGGCATAAAACAACATGCATACGTTACAAAGAAGTAGGCTGACCATATAAATAACACGAGTGAATAAAAATCCCCCAGCCATCAGGTCTTCTGTGACTGTTAATTTTATGTGTCAGGCTGCCTGGGCCATGGTGACCAGATATGTGGATGTTTCTATGAGGGTGTTTTGGGAGGAGATTAACAGTTACATCAGTGGACTTTGAGTAAAGCAGATCGCCCTCATAATGTAGATGGGCCTCACCCAGTCAGTTGAAGGCCTGAATAGAACACAAAGACGGACCTCCCATGAGCAGCGGGGATCCTGTAGCAGTCAGCTTAGGACTGGGACAGCAACACAGGCTTTTCTCTGGGTTTCTAGTCCGCCAGCCCACCTGGCAGATTTTAAATTTGCCAGTCCCTATAGTCACATGGGCCAATTCCTTAAAATAAGTATTTCCCTTTCTCTTTCTCTCTTTACATATATTTATATGTAACTAGAATGGATGCACAGGCACAAGGAAAAGTTATACAATGATACCTGCTACAACACTGTAAGAGCAAAACCATAAACAATACAAACGTGATTCAATAGGCGATTTGTTAATACATTTGGTTCATCAATAGAATGGATTAATTGCAGCCATTAGAAAGGACAATGGCCATTGATATGGTTTGGCTGTGTCCCCGATGAAATCTCACCTTGAATTGTAATAATCCCCATGTGTCAAGGGCAGGGCCAGGTGGAGAAAATTGAATCATTTGGACAGTTTCTCCCATACTGTTAGTATGTAGTGGTGAATAAGTCTCTTGCGATCTAATGGTTTTATAAACAACAGTTCCCTTCACAAGCTCTCTTGCCTGCTGCCATGTAAGACATGCCTTTGCTCCTCCTTTTCCTTCTGCCATGATTATGAGGCTTCCCCAATCATGTGAAACTGAGTCCATTAAACAAACCTCTTTTTCTTTATCAATTACCCAGTTTTGGGTATGTCTTTATCAGCAGCATGAAAACGAACTGATATGGCCATCTCTATACATGGAAAAGCAGTCGTCATATATCGCTAAGTGAAAAAATTAGGAGTCAGATGCCTCTATATGCATGAAATGTATTTATATGTCATTTTTTGTCTTCAAGTAGGTGAGGTTTGTGATTTTTAAAACGTTTCTCTTTTTGTTTATCTATGCTTTCTAACTTTTTGTTAATAAATACGCATCACACTCATAATAAAATAAGTCAATAAACTTCCTTTATATTAAGTGTTAAATAAAAACAGACAAAATCAGCATGGGTTTAATGGAAACAAGGATCCGGCTAGGCTGGGAACTCCACCTGCCAAGCCTTTACCTGGGACGTGAGGTCGGCAGCTGAGGCAGGTTGGGGCAGGTTGAGGATCCTCACCCTATTTTCATATCTTCTTTCTCTCTCTTCCTATACTTATTCCCTCTTCAGGTGCCATGAGCTCCCCTGTCTCAAGGTTTCCAGTGATTCAGGGAAAAGTACCTTCATTCACACTGAATGGTGTTTGAAGCAACTTGGACAGAGCTGGAGGCCATTATTCTAAGTAAAATAACTCAGGTATGGAAAACCAAATATTGGACGTTCTCACTCATAAGTGGGAGCTAAGCTATGAGGATGCAAAGGCATAAGAATGATATAATGGACTTTGGAGACTCAGAGGGAAAGGCGGGAGGGGGATGAGGGATAAAAGACTACTTATTGGGTGCAATGTATACTGCTCAGGTGACAGGTGCACCAAAATCTCAGAAATCACCACTAAAAAAACTTATCCAGGGCCTGGTGTGGTGTCTCATACCTGAAATCCCAGTGCTTTGGGAGGCTAAGGTGGGGGGATTGCTTGAGGCCAGGAGTTCAAGACCAGCCTGAGCAACATAGCAAGACCCTGTCTCTACTAAAAAATTTTTTTTTAAAAGTAGCCCAGCATAGTGGCGCACACCTGTAGTCCCAGATGCTCAGGAGGCTGAAGTGGTAGGATCACTTGAGCCCAGGAATTACAGGCTGCAATGAGCTATGATTGCACCACTGCACTCCACTCGAGGTGACAGAGTAAGACCCTGTCTCTAAATAATCTCATAATCATAATCATAATCATAATAATAGAATTCATCCATGTAACCAAAAACCACTCATACCCCAAAAACTATTGAAATAAAAAAGAAAAAAGTAACGTAAATGGAAATAAAATAATATAAAAACAAAACAGATATAAAAATAAAGCTATGTGAAATCAAAAAAAAATTACAAAGTAAAACAAGGCATACTTGTTAAACTTATTCTGCAGTAAAGTCATTTCAAAGACAACTAATTGTTTGAATCAGATATAGTGTCAATATACACTTCCTGTGCTATCAAAGTTAAAATAAAGTGAGTGAGATCTTCATCCCCCACACCCCGCTGAAAAAAAAGAATCCCTAGGGCAGAGCAACTGGGGAAAGAGCACCCCACTCTGCAGGCCCCACTGGGATAACCTTCTGTTCCTTAATGTGTTAGGTGGCTCTAGGCTCCATCACTCATTCATTCACTCTATGTGGTGCAGTCCCTCGGGCTGCTGTAACGAAACACCATAACTGAGCAGCTTATAAACAACAGACATCTATTTCTTATGGTAATGGAAGCTGGAAGTTCAAGATCCAGGTGTCAGCAGATTCAGTAATTGGTGAAGACCTGGTTTCTGGTTCATAAACAGCCATCTTCTACCTGTGTCCTCACATGGCAGAAGGGGTAACAGAGTTCTCTGGGGTCTCTTTTATAAGGGCACTAATTCCATTCATGGGGGCTCCATCCTCATGACCCAATTACCACCCAAAGACCTCACCTCCTAATATGATCACCTTAGGAATGAGGAGTTCAACACAGCAATTTGGAGGGAGACACATTCAGACCAGAGTCCAGGAATTTCTGAGAGCACACACAGAACCACATTGGAAAGGGCCACTACGCAGCTACTTGAACATCCAAAGAAATCTCACCTTGATGTCTCAATGGGAACATCAGGTTTTAAGGCATTCATTTCTTTCAGAATCGTTGATCTTTCATCTTTTCATGATACCAGAGGTTATAATTAAATCACAATAAACTTTCTTTACAGGTGAAAGTTTCAATATTTCCACCTCTCAAAATCCAAATTAAGTTTTTCCCAACTTTTCTTTCCTAACAATGAGAAGACCCATTCTTGGCAAGTGATACCATGTGGAATATCAAGGTGTATATATCTTCTTACGGTGCAAATTCCTAAGACCCTCAGTGTTTGGTTGCCCAGGGAAATGCAGCCTTTAAAGAGTTAACTCCTGCCTGTGGCTCTTCCAGAGAATTCTAAAGCATCCTTGACCACGTGCAGTGGCTCACACCTGTAATCCCAGCACTTTGGGAGGCAGATCACTTGAGGTCAGGAGTTCAAGACCAGCCTAGCCAACATGGCAAAACCCCATCTCTACTAAAAATACAAAAATTAGTCAGGCGTGGTAGCAGATGCCTGTAATCACAGCTACTCAGGAGGCTGAGGCAGGAGAATTGCTTGAACCCAGGAGGTGAGGTTGCAGTGAGCCAGGATCGGGCAACAGAGCAAGACTCCGTCCCAAAAAAAAAAAAAAAAAAAAAAAAAAAGAAAAAGAAAAAGAAAAAAGAAAGAAGAAAAAAAGAAATTTTAAAACATCCAGGGAACAAACAGATTCCTCTTACAGGTTAAATCCCAGACTTTCTTTTACCAGGTATTGCGCTTTGTGGTGCGGAGGTAGAACATAAAGTCATCAGGGAGAAAACGCAAAGTCAGCAACCTCCCCTTTCTCCCATTCTAAACTTCATGGCAGCCCCTCCCAATGTAGCATTTTCCTACTTTGTCTCTATCTTTCATTGTCAATACCTGTGCTCAGAGCAAAAACAGATTAATCAGTCATTTATAGCATGATAGGAATAAATGCAAAGTGTCACCTCCATCAGAGCATCTGCCTGCTGTGCTTCATCATGGATGGTGATGAGGAGCCCTTCCTCACTTCTGAAGACCTCACCCCCTGTTCTTCTGGAAGGATGGGAGCCTCACACCACCCTTCTCTCATCTCTGAAGAAGGACCTCAGTTTACATTCAAGAGGTAAGAGAGGAAAAACATGGATTTCAATATAAAAGTTGTGACTAATGGTTTTTGTAATCAGTTTCCCTGATATTAGTCATGGAGTCTGAATCATATTTCCATGGGAATCCAAGTCAGCTGATTCCTGTAGGCTATGTTTTTATTTTATAGCTAGTTGTTATAATAGCATTGCATAAGCAAAAAGGAATAACCAGAGAAGGTGAGTCATGAACGTGAAGAAAAATCCCATTTTACGCTCTAAAACATCAGCAGAAGCTCTGATTCTCCCCTGAGTTTCCCATTTAAAAAAAATGTTCTTTTGCATGTGAAGCCTGATGTGCAGAGAGAGATTACACCGTATACTGAATAACACTTTAAGGAGTATTACGTATTAGCTGAGGGTTGGAACTTGGGAAGGGCAGGCACCATGGCTTCTATGTGCCCCCTTGCCAGCAAGGTGGCAGCACCAGGTGGACTGGAGGAAATGTGGCACTAAGAGGCTTTCCCATTTCAACATGGGAAGCTGAGAAACGCAAAGCCATCATAATCTGTCAGGACCCTAAGAAGCAACCAGGACTCTTCAAGCCTCAGGGAGATTCCGGGGAAATGGTAGTTGGCACTGATATTGTTTGGCTCTGTGTCCCCACCCAAATCTCATCTTAAATTGTAACCCCCACGTGTGGAGGGAGAGGCCTGGTGGGAGGTGATTGGATCATAGGTATGGTTCCCCCATGCTGTTCTCATGAGAATGAGGGAGTTCTCAGGAGATCTAATGGTTTAAAAGTAGCCGTTTCCCCTGAACTCTCTCTCTCCTGATGCCTTGTGAAGAAGGTGCCTGCCTCCCCTTCACCTTCTGCTATGATTTTAAGTTTCCTGAGGCCTCCCCAGCCATGCAGAACTGTGGGTCAATTAAACCTCTATTCCTTATAAATTACCCAGTCACAGGCATTTCTTCATAGCAGTGTGAGAACGGACTAATACAGGCACCACTATCTAAAGAGCAAGAAATGCTTTGGAAACAAGGTCACCTCTCCTATGATACTAGCATATATGGTTGACCCTCATTCTGTGTGTATTGAAATTGAATTTAATTAAGTTGCCCATTTTCAAGAGTTTTCTGGGCTGACTTGGCCACCTATATTTCGAAAGGATGTAGAAAATGAACAAGACCTTGGATGGATTTTTCAGGGTGCAAGGAAATTTCATTCAAGCACTAAATACTATTTTCCACAGAGGCACTTTGAGGCTGCCTTGGTGGGGTGGGAGAGGCTGAGCAGGTAAAGCTCTGGCCATGGTCTCTTTCCTTGGAGCCCACATCCAGCATCAACCAGAAGCTCCCCATGGTTAGACATGCTGGAATTGCAGTACATTTTTTGTTTGAATCAGAACTGCTGAAAGTTTGAAAGCCACCAGCCTATAGTGTCCCTAGATATTTCCTTTACAGTTCTATGCTTATTCATTTTCATGGACTGTTCACCTCCCAGCTTCTCCTGATGCCACTGTAAGGGATGAACATGGGGAAAGAAAGGACAGCAGCAATGGGAGATGTTTTGGTTGAACTGTGTCCTCTTCCCCAAAAAAGTTATGTTGGGGTCATGACCCATTCAAAAGTTGAACTTATTTGGAGATGGAGTCTTTACAGAGGAAATCAGGTTTACATGAGGTCACTCGTGGCCCTAATCCAGTGTGACTGGTGCCCTTATGAAAAGGAGAAACTTGGCTAGGCGCAGTGGCTCACGCCTGTAATCCCAGCACTTAGGGAGGGCTGAGGTGGGTGGATCACGAGGTCAGGAGTTCCAGACCAGCCTGGCCAACATGATGAAACCCCATCTCTACTAAAAATACAAAAATTAGCTGGGCATGGTGGCACATGCCTGTAATCACAGCTACTCAGGAGGCTGAGGCAAGAGAATTGCTTGAACCCGGGAGGCAGAGGTTGTAGTGAGCCGAGATCGTGCCACTGCACTCCAGCCTGCTGACAGAGCTAGACTCTGTCTCAAAAAAAAAAAAAAAAAAAAAAAAAAAAAAAAAAAAAACAGGGGTGTGTGTGGAAATCTGGTCACTGATGCACACACAGGGAGAATGTCATGTGAACAAGAAGGCAGAGAGTGAAGTGATGCGTCTGCAAGCCAAGGACCTTCCAGGATGCTGGCAGCCACCGTGATCTGTTCCTGGAATAGATCCTGGTGGCCGCTGACAATGGTAGCCATGGAAGAGAGACCTGGAATGGATCCTCCCTCAGAGCCTGGAAAAGGAACCACTTTGATCTTAGACTTCTGGCCTCCAGAACTGTGAGACGATGAAGTTCTGTTGTTGAAGCCCCCAGTCCGTGGTACTCCATTACAGCAACCTGAGCAAATTACTACAGGGCCAAAGGCAGGAAAGACATTGGTGACTGTTTATTACAGTGTTATCTCTCGAGCTGGGCCGTGTAGAAAGTGATGCTAACAAAAAAGTGAAGTTTGAGTTTTTCTTTAATATAAAAACAATTCCCCAAGTAGGCTAAGTGAACCTGTCTACCGGGGTCCACCAGGATTGCACAGTGGAGCACACCCACAAACAACAAACAAGGCGGGCATGTTCCCATGAGGTCAAACCCCTGCTGCCCTCACCAGCCCGCTTGGCCTGGACATTGCTGGGCAGTAATGACACATGCTCTGAATGGCCGCTAGGCGAGCACTGATCCCACCAGATTCTCCGGGAGCTCTGGTTTTGACATCAGCACCTGTCTTAGAAGAGTACTGAATTCTTCCTTGCAGAGGAATTTGGAAAGACTCACCTGCTCCTTAGTGGATGGCCTTAAAAAACCTTTGAGGTGGTAACCCTGCCTCCTTCTCCGGCGCTTTGCTCACCTCTTCCGGGTCACATTCCACGTTTTCCCCCGCAGTGCCTGCCACATCTCTCCTACTTCCTGACCTTTTTGCAGGTGGCTTCTCTCTCCTGGAACCCCCTTTCCCCTCCTCCCTGCCACCCATCTTGCTAAGTGCTGCTTGTCCTCTGCATCTCAGGTGTCTCCTCGAGGAAGCTCCTCTGACCATCCAAGATGAGCTAAGGTCTCCCTTCCTTGAGCCCCTGTGGCACCCTGTGCTGGCTGCCCAAAAAAGCACTTGTCTACAGTATGGAAAGTGCCTGTCTGCCCTCTGGACCCCATGCATCTTGGTATAGGACCCATGCCTGGCTCACTGTGGGCCCCCAGTGATCAGTGCTCATGTAGCACAGAGTCACCTCTGGAAGCACTTTATTACATAATTGAATGGGGCAAATGTCATTGTTAGAGTAGGCTATTAAAAGCCTGGTTCGAAGGTAATCAGATCCTCAAATAAGATAATGGCAGGGATGATAGGCAGCAATCGATCCATAGGGAGAGATGTTTAGGAAATAGAATTGTCAACGTTTAGCGACAGGACATGTGGGGTGATGGAGAATAAAGACTCAAAGTTTTCTAGATTTCATGATTTGGGTCAGCCCATGGTATAGAAAACAAATGAGTGAGTGAGTGAATGAATGAATAAATGAAGAGATGAATCCTCCCCATAATGCTCCATTCTCTGGTGGCCAGTGGGGAGGTGAGAGTTGCTATTGGCCTAGGAGGTAGATTATCTGGACTCCAGACCTCTCTCTGCCATAGGTGTGTTTTTGAGCTATGGGCAAGTCGTTGATAATATCTGAGCTCAGTTTCTTTATTTGGAAAATGCAAGGGTTGGGTGAGTTATTGCCTGAGGTTCCTTTGAGCCCCATCATCCTCTCTCTTTCTCCCCTGCTTGCGGAGTGATTTGGGTTCTTATTTAACTTAAGTGCAATGGACATAGCTCTTCTCAAAGGGAACTTGGGAATCTTCTAGGATACAAGCATTTTCCAGCAGAATTGGGGCATCCCTAGATGCAGAATGTGATATCCATTTTTGCAATTAGATACTTTGGGAAACTTGGCTCTGAGGGCAGAGCTGATCTAAAACCCAGCACTCAGCAACATCAATTGCCACCTTGGGCTTACAAAGAAGAGAATCTGCAACTAGTAACAGTAATTTTAAATAACCACTCTGAATAGATTTGTGTACACATCTGCTTTTCCTGAAGGGACCTGAGATGTGTCCTCAGAGAATGACACCAGCACTTAGCCAGCACCACTCACTCCGAAGAACGTCACAGCAGCAACGGATGGTGGAAGAAAAGTCTGCCGCGGGTTTGCAGTGTCTTTTTCAGACCATCCCACAGAAACTTCTGCTCCTAAGTCCTAGCAGGGGAGCATGTGTTTGCAAGGTCCATCATCCTTTTTTCTCTTATAAGAAGGCTGAATTGAAACCTGCACAGCAGTGGGACACAATGGGTCATGTCTGTACTCCCAGCAATTTGTGGGGCTGAGGATGCAGGATCTCTTGAGCCCAGGAGTTCGAGATCAGCCTGGGCAACATAGCAAGACTCTGTCTCTATGAAAATGTTTTTAAAAATTAGCTGGGGATGGTGGCACACGCCTGTGGTCCCAGTTACTTGGAACGCTGAGGCAGGAGGATTACTTGAGCCCAGGAGACCAGCCTGTCTCTACAAAAAATGAAAAAAAAAAAATAGCTGGGCATGTGGTTCATGCCTGTCGTCCCAGCTACTTAGGGGACTTAAGGTGGGAGGGTCACTTATGCCTGAGTTTGAGGCTGTGATTGCATTCACTTTAGTCTGGGTAACAGAGCAAGACCCTAATAAAAGTTTTTTTTTTTTTTTTTTTTTTTAAAGAAAGGAACCTGCACAGTGAGGTGCTCCATCACAGCCACACAACTCTGTCAACACAAACCAGCCTACTTAAGTCTCTTATTCTCCATATGTCAGACCCAGCATGGAAAGACACCCCTAGATAGGGGGAAATGGAACCAAACAAGGAGCCACACAGATGGGCAAGAGACTGCAGGGCTGCAAGGCAAGGCCTTTGCCACATTGACCAGATGGTAGTTTCCAGGAGGAGAAAGATCTGATTTGAAGACAAGAAGGAGAAAATGACCTCTTAAATTTGGGAATTGAAGACAATAAAAGAGATGTTAAATTATCTGCATTCTTGTAGAAATACAGTTCAGTGAAACAGTTAAGATCAAGAGCTGTGCCAACTATGGTGGCTCACACCTATAATCCCAGCAACTCGGGAGGCCGAGGTAGATTTGCTTAAGTCTAGGAGTTCAAGCCTGCAGTGAACTATTACCATGTCACTGCACTCCAGCCTGGGTGACAGAGCGAGACCCCCAATTCTAAACAAAACAAAAAAAAGGATCAAGGGTTCTGAAATTCATATCAAGGTTTAACCACTGCTGACCTCTATAACCTTGCACAAGAGACTCAACATCTCTCCAAGCTGCATGTTCTCACCTGCAAAGCATGAGAAACAATAGGAACAATCTCCTAGGGATGTTGCAAGAATCAAAAAAGCTAAGGATGGTCGAAGTGCTTATAACTATTAACCACCATAAATCCTCAATCAGGGCAAGGAATGATCATCAGTCAAGGGGCATACACAAGTAAGAACAGAATCATCTTTAACCTGAAATTCCTCTTTTTAAATGGGAAACAGTATATACTTTTCTGGGTTATTGATTATGATTTCTATATTTTCAGACCCCAAAATCAGATCAAGTGCTTTCTGAAGTTCACATTACTTCTGAAACAATGGAACAAAGCATTTTAAATAAACGTGACTCAGACAATTCAGAACATATGGTCGTCATAATGTGTGTCCGTGTTGAACTATCCCTGAAAAGAGCATGGAGCACTAAGCATTTAACAGTAAATGAATTACTCACAATCACATGAAAATATATAGACCAAGAAACAGTCTTGCATCGAACACCATCAGTGCCTTAAATTTAACTACTGGGGCCAACCTCTTGTGAACAGACAGATTTGCATCTTTTTTGTCTTACCTGCCTAGTACAAGGCAACAGGGTATAACTCAAGCCAGAGATTTATTTTGAATAAAACAATAACGAAAACTTGCTATCATAATCATTTCAGAAGGGGTGGCCCACTGCAACAGAATTCCCAGCTTTCTAGGTCACCCATTGTTCTTGGAGAGGTGGTGAACTTTACTGCATTTTGGAAAGAACAAGAAGTGTCCTCAATGCCAATTCTCAGACATGACAAAAACACTAGTAACAGTTTGTCAAGAGAAAAACACACCATGACATAAACATTTATAGATAAAGTTTTTGCTAAGGTTTAATATTATTCTAAACATATTTCAAGGGTTTCTTTTAAAATGTATGTTTGGGGGGATTTCTTTTCACTGATGTGTGGGGAGGCTGAGCTCCATGCTCACCTACAAGGGAAGAGAAGGAGAAGTACACTCTTCAACTTTCAGAACACAATAGTAAAGCTTCGAGCACGGAATAAATATTGAAACGAATTTTCACACTGGGAAATCTACTCACAATAAGTAAGTAGGATGGAGAAGGAAATGAAAGGGCCCCGTTTTTCAGCGTCAACACAATACGTACAAATCCTCAGGCTCACCAGATGAATCTTTGTGCAGACTGTGTCGCTTGGGTGTTAGCATGGAGATGACAGAGAGTGATTTTCAAAGAATATGTACAGCCTCTGCAGCCTAAATTGAGTGGAATAAGATCTGAGTGAAAAGCAAGCGCAGTCAATAATAGCCAGGGCCGGCCATCGAAAGCTTCTCAGAGGAGAACCCAGCGGTGAGTAAGAAGTAGAGAACATTCTTACCTCGCTTAATCCCCCAGACCACGTTCCAGCCATCTGCTGTGGAATTACATTCAAAACTAAAGTAGGTCATAGAATTGTTAATGAGAACACAGGAACTTCAGGGTTCTAGAGATCTATCCTTCAGTTTCTTCTTTTGGAAAATGAGAGGCTCTTAAGTGCTCCCCTCAGAGGATTTTTGCAGGGATTGAATGAGCGAGTCTGTACAAAGCACTGGGAATAGTGCCCGGCACAGAGCAGGAGGCTCTCCAGGGTGAGCGCTCTGTTTGCACTCATGGCTTTCATTGCCACCCTGATTGCTGTTCTTCACCTCTCCCGGCCTCCTGTCTGCAGAGGGCTTGGTGACAGCCACAGCCAGAGGTTCCTAGACTTTTCTTTCTTTTTTTTTTTTTTTGTTTTGAGATGGAGTTTTGCTCTTGTTGCCCAGGCTGGAGTGCAATGGCATAATCTCGGCTCACCGCAACCTCTGCCTCCCAGGTTCAAGTGATTCTCCTGCCTCAGCCTCCTGAGTAGCTGGGATTACAGGTGCACGCCACCACGCCCGGCTAATTTTGTATTTTTTTAGTAGAGACAGGGTTTCTCCATGTTGGTCAGGCTGGTCTCAAACTCCTGACTTCAGGTGATCTGCCTGCCTCAGCCTCCCAAAGTGCTGGGATTACAGGCGTGAGCCACCGTGCCTGGCCCATAAATTCACTTTTCAAAATAGCTAGGGTTCTTTTATTTCTTCAAGGCCAACTTTGTGTAGACTACATTAGCACATATAGGTAAACTGAAAACCCCACTGAGGAATGAGAGGTAGACTTGGTCATAAATGTCAGGGGGTACTGGAAGGCCCTGCGAGAGCTTCAGCAGGAAGGATCTGCCAAACCCAAGTTGATGAAGAAACCTAGCTATCATCATGGAAGTCAAGAAGATTTAATTAGGAATCCACACTGATTTAGCAGGACGCTGATCATGGCAGTCTCTGCTGCTGTGGATCTGAAAATGGCTCTTCGTGTTTTACATCCCCGTTCCCACCCCCAGATGTCTACTGTGAAAACTGCCACTTTTCACCATCATTTGTAACACCTGGATTATCAGACGCTATCTTTTCTGAAAAGCAGCCTATATTTATTTCGGTTGAGTTTGGAAAATTTCTGGTGAAGAACTTTATCAATGTTGTCACCAGTATACCTTATCACCTTCAAGCAAATTGCCAGGCCGATAGGGTGGGGTGGATTACCCAGGAGCCCTCCAGCTGAGCAGCTCTAAAGTTGGAGGAGACTGGCCAACAAGACTCACCAAATTCTTATCACACGCTTTGTTAGTAGCAAGGAATCAGCATGTTGAAATGCTGTTACGATTCATGACTCACCTTCACAGCCTCCATTCAGACCTTGAGAAACGCTTCCAAAAACTGCAGGAATGATTTCTGAAGGCTGCTCTGGCTATACTTTTTTGTTCGTGTCTACCAAGAGTCTTTTCCAAGCCGCATTGCGTTCATTATTGAACAAGAATTCCCTGTGTTCCTCAAGTTCCCATGAACAAACAAAGCCCCTATAGCATTGTCATGGGAACCTACAGAAAAGATCACAGCAGTGGTACTTATGAAGCAACTCTTCTAGAACCATCTGATATTGACTATTGAGCTGCTTCTCCCGAGAACGTCGTCAAGGCCACGAAAGGAACAAACAAAAAGAACTCTTTTATTTCTGGTCATAGCGACTGCAGCACTGGAACAACCTGACATACATACACCCACTTGAAAACATTTTGTAATTTGTCCAGTTAAAGATTCCACTTCTTACGTTTTTTAGGTGTGCCCAGCTGAGCCACTTACTCTAACAATATTTTTATGGTTTCATATAACCATCCCCTATCACAAAGGTGTTGCTTGAATTTCAGTACAGGTATTCGGGCGTGTAAAACACAGAAAGAGAATTGCCAATCTTCCTGTACACTCCAGGCATCAGCACCTTGAGAGAAAAGCTCATTAGCAAGAAGAGAGGAAAATCCAATTTCCAACATGTAGTCTTTTGGCTGCAAATGTTGATAGCAATTTCAGTCATTAGTCTCTTTCATAAGTGCTGAAATCATTATAGTAACAGAATGGCCAACGGGCAACCTCACCTCAGGCTCATTCTTGCAACCGCTACCTAAGCCTGATGATTTCTCTTTCAAAATAATTACAGGAGCAGCCATGCTGGCCATGAGGAAAGATGGGACCTTACACACTCACTCTTCAACCTGGGCCAAGAAAGAGTCTGCTTTATTATTCTTTTCTGTTAGGATCAAGGAATATGGTTTTTTGTATGTTTGTTTCTGCAACATAGAATCCCCATTGGCTTTTAGAAGAATTATTTGCTCATAAAGGGAAGGAACAGGGTAGGAGCAAACAACGTTGTTTTTTTTTTATTTTTGGTTGGCAATATCTTTCTAGCAGATTTTGCAGACTTACAGACATGCCTGTGAGAGCCAATATCGTGTGATGGTTAAGAGTGGGTTTTGTTTTGTTTTGTTTTGTTTTGTTGTTGTTGTTTGAGACGGAGTCTCGCTCTGTCGCCCAGGCTGGAGTGCAGTAATGCGATCTCCGCTCACTGCAACCTCCGCCTCCCGGGTTCAAGTGATTCTCCTGCCTCAGCCTCCCGAGTAGCTGGGACTACAGGTGCCCGCCACCACGCCCAGCTAATTTTTGTATTTTTAGTAGAGACAGGGTTTCACTGTGTTGGCCAGGCTGGTCTCGAACTCCTGACCTCATGATCCGCCCACCTTGGCCTGCTGGGATTACAAGTGTGAGCCACCACGTCCGTCCAAGAGTGGGCTTCTTAGAGTCAGCCAGCCCTAGGTTTGAGTTCAGGTTCTCCCCATAATAGTTGCATCTTCTTGGGCAAGTGATTTAATGCTTCTGCACCTCCCTTTTCTGAACTGTGAAATTAGTATACAGTAGACCCTGATTCGTAATGTTGTGAAGATGCAATAAGTTATGCATAGCACCTGGTACATGACGAGCACTCAATAAACAGCAGCTTTTATCACTGTTATATTTATAACAGCTTCCGTCGTTCCTGTGGCAACAGCTGCTCAGATCAGAAATCTATTGCTTCTCTGATCTTTATGGGGGGATGGGGGTCTTCTCACCCGACACCTCTAGAGGGCAGCAATGCGCAGTGACCTTCGATGCTCCCTAATGGGAAATGAAGTCTACTGAGCTCTTCAGGGAAGTTTACTAGGAGTTTTGATTTGTTCTGTTTGAGATACCAAGACAAACAAACCTGTATGACACAATTAATGTCATAGCCTTGGGGATATAGGTGGCATTTCAACAACGACAAAAATGTAACATTAACAATAATATAATTAGAGTACCATAATTGAGGGCCTGCTCTGCAACAAGTATGATACTACTTCATCACTAGTCCCCACAACGACCCTGCAAGGTTGACATGCTAACCCTCATTTTACATGTGTAGACACCGAGATTCCTAGATGTGAAGGAATTTTCTTTTTATAAGGATATTCTTGATGCCAAAAAAAGAATGTGACCAGGCACAGTGGCTCACGCCTGTAATCCCAGCACTTTGGGAGGCCCAGGCGGGCAGATCACCTGAGATCAGGAGTTTGAGACCAGCCTGGTCCAACATGATGAAACCCTGTCTCTACTAAAAAAATACAAAAATTAGCCAGATGAAACCCCATCTCTACTAAAAAAATACAAAAATTAGCCAGTCGTTGTGGTGGGCCCCTGTAATCCCAGCTACTCAAAAGGCTGAAGCAGAAGAATTGCTTGAATCTGGGAGGCAGAGGTTGCAGTGAGCTGAGATCACGCCATTGCACTCCAGCCTGGACAAGAGAGCGAGACTCCGTCTCAAGAAAAAAACAAAACAAAACAAAAGACTGGAATGTAGGTCTGTCTGATTTAAAAACTCAGGTTCTTTCTGTTCCACTGCATTGGCGGTAGAGTTTACCAGTCGTCTTATGTTAAGTTGCACCACAGTGACAAGCAACCCCAAACCCTGGTGGCCTGCAGTCACAGAGGGTTATCCTCACTCATGCTGTGTGCCATGGATCTGACGATCCAGCTCTGCTCTGTGCGTTCTCGATTCCAGGAGCCAGCTGGAAGAGCAGCTACATCTGAGACTTAACTATTCTGATGGCAGAGAGAAAATACCAATGACGGAGGCCCCTGCTGACTCTTGGTCAAGTCTTTTATTCATTCAGTCCTTTAAAAATACATTTATTAAGCCACTGTATGTACTACCACAGTCCCTCCTCTTATGTAGCTTACAGTCTTATGCAAACAATCAACTTGTTAAACCTATAAGGTAAGTACATTAAAAGAAAGTAACACTGGATCATGAGGATGCATCACGGAAGAATTTCATCTGGTCTCGGTGGGCAGGGAAATAGCATCAAAGAAGACTTCTCCAGAAAAGTGTCCTTTGAACTAAGATCTAAAGGATGTATAAGAATTAACTATGCAAAGGAAGCCAAGAAGGCAGAGAATTGCGTGTGCAAAGGTCCTGTGGCAGGGAGAGGTTGATTCATTCAGGGCACTGGAAAAGAAAAGGCAGGATCATGGGAGTAAAGTGAACAAGTGGTGGGAAATGGTGTTGGGGAAGCTTTATGGGCCAAGGCTCTTGGCCATTTCCTACATACCTGGGAAGCTGTTGAAAGATTTTAAGTCATTCAACAATATTTACTTTCCTAGATGGGGAAAATATTACCTTCTAGGTCAGCCAACCTCGTAAGTAGTGATGAATTAATTACTAAAAGTGGACTCTAGTAATGGCATCTGATGGAGACATTTTGTCGGGCAGTATTGATACTTCCTCAACATAATTACTGAGCCATTGAGAAGAAATATATGTGCTTCTGGGATAAGGCTGTACTCCTCACATAACTTTAGAAAGAAGGGAGAATGTAAAAGATCATTTGAAAGAGGCAGAAATGTAGATGGTTTCATCAATTACTTGATGGAACTTCAATCCCTTTTTTTCAGAGTTGGATCACAATGTATATAAAACAGTGCCCTGTGAAGAGGGAATTTTTGTAATTGAGTCACACACCTGCTGTTCTTTCTAGGAGCCAATCGACTCCATGAGAATAGAGTAAAAAAGATACGTGCTACCAGTTTGATATTGGAAATTTTGTGAAGTCTAATCTAAAATAGGCTTCAAATTCTCCCCTACTCCAAACACACCCCTGCTACGACCCATGATTCCACCTGATAAAGATTAGAGAGTTAAACAGAAACATATTTTCATTCTTTCTTCCAAATACCAACACCTGGACCCTTCCATGAATTTATCTATTTGTAGGGTAAGGCAATCACTTCCCTTAATCTTACAAAGCGGCTGTTCCAAGACATTAATTGCCCTGTCATTTATATGTCTCAAAATGGTGCCATTTGACAATGGCACACACTTGAATTTGTTTGCTGTGTCAGATTGTGTTCCACTGGTTACCACTTTGCAGCAGGTTTTCTAGATGACTTTCATGGGTTTGTAATACACAAGTGCTATTAAAAAGTTCCCTTTAAGAGAATCTCTGCTAGTCATCATCATTAACCAGCCCCATCACAATCAATACACTACCCCCATTGTGTACAGAAGTCTTGAGAATTTACATCAACTCGCAGTTTCTAATCCCAAGCTTCAGTCTTGCCATCAGCTGAGAAATAAATGCATACACATACACATAATGTTTATTTGCATTAATAATGAAAAATGACTAATGCTCACAAGCAACCGTTTGGAATCAAGACACGCTTCCTGTTCAAACCATCATATGTTCACTCAGCTTTGTCGGCCAGTGATAGAGCAATTTTGAGGGTTTTATTCCGTTAGCTGACAGCTCCCCAGACAGACTACACAGCCATCTGAAGTTTCCAAATAAACTAGCAGACCGTTCTTGAATGGGTTTTTCACATTTCTTTCTTTCTTTGGATTCAGAATGAGAATGGCTTTCCCATGACTTGCTTTGAGGGCTAGTTTGAGCTATACTTCCTCGGGGCTACAAATGTCCACTATCATGAAGTTCATCACACCCAAAACCTCAGTCGAGGGAAAGGGACTGGAGAAAGACTTTGTTGACTGATGAGCAAAACTTAGATCCATGTCAGGGAAACAGATGGCATCACCACAGTCAAAACCTCCCCTCTATAATCACTCATCTGAGTAAATATACAAGAGTCAGTAGCAGCAGACACCTTTGCAGAATTTACAGATGGGAAACTCAAGGAGAAGGTTCAGTAATGTGTTTGATGTCCCACATTGACAGGGTTTAATGCTAGGACTGTCACCTAGGAGTCTGTGTACCTAATTCATTCCTTAATTACCTACATTCTCTGAGCTTTAATTTCTTCATCTCTAAAATAAAAGCAGTAAAATTGAACCTAGTGATAACTTGATAAGAAGTAATGATAGGATTCAACAAAAGCCTCAGTGCAGCATGTGGTGCACCATGAGCAAGCAATCCACATTAAATCCCTTCCATTCATTACAAAAAAGGATTCATATCACACATCTTCCAGAACAGGTGCAGTCTGAAGTGATATTGCTTGCTTCAATTATACCAAATTTGGAAAAGAAGTCAAACAGCCAGCTTTGAAAGGGAAGCATTTTAAAGGAATAATGATCCAAATTGGAGAAAAGAGAAATGAAACAGTAAAAATGTCTATGTGAGCACTATATACTTTCAAACACTTTGCCCAGGTGGTGGGATTTACTGATCAAAGTAGAAAATAAGTGGTTTTCAGCACGTGCTCTCAAAGTATGGATATATTTTATTTGTAAGTTATACATACACACATATACAAGTTACTTGTAAAGTATATGTGTATACCTGCAGTATCAGTCCCATGTATGTTATACGTATGTTATCCCATGCAACCACCTGTATTTATATGCAAATATCCCATGTGCATTACAAATGCCACCAAACCCAATTAAAGGAGGGAACAGGTAGAGACACACCATGCTGGAATGATGGTGTGAATACTCAGACATTATGTACAGAATGTCCTCCCCTGAGTATTCATAAATGTACAGTCAGAGGTAGACCTTGAAGAGCATGAGGTCAGTGGGTGTGCTCCAGGGACTGTGTGATCCCCTGGAATCCTATGTAAAATATCATATACACATTCATATACACATTTTCTAGAGACAAGATCCATATATTTCATCAAATTCTCAGAGTTACGAAAGACCTCTGAAAAAGTCCAGCATCACTGATTTACACCAACCTTACCCTTTAGGATCTTCCCAATCAGTCAGCATACACGTCACTCTCTTCCTAGCTTCTGGTATGGTCTGCAGCCTGATAGAACTTGTAGGGTCCCACCCTTTACTCTTCTGTTCTTTCTAGAATGCTCCTGACATAGGGAATCAAAGACATTGGAAAGAAGACATTAAAATCAAGAAAATGGCAACCTGTAGACAATTTAGCATGAAAAGCGTTGAGCCTAGAGTGACTTACACAGATAATCAGTTTGTGTACAGATTGCAAAGCTTTCCTCCGCCTTATACTTGAGGGTGACACTTGGAGAAATCCTGAGGAAATGCTGTTATAAGGAATTAATCATCAGAAGTTATAGTCAAAACTAATATGAGATCTCAAAAGAGCTCCCAAGTGGAGTTTAGCGGTGGCTCTTCTGTGACACATTCTAATACAGGGAGAAACTTCATTCTCTTTTCTTGCCTCTGTTTCCTCAGCTAGAACATTAAACAATGGGCCAGGTGATCTCTAATGTCTCATAGACACCACCAGTTACTGAGAGTCTACTTTGCTAAATGCCGGGCAATCAACAGGCAGAATCATATCTCCCCCAATCCTCATAGAAAATCTGTAAGGCAACAATGCTTCTCGGCTCTTCAGTTCTGAAATTCTCTTATCTAACTTGTATAAGGCACTGTGTCTTCACAGCAGGACTTTGAGTAGGACTTGGGTCTCCTGACTCTAGCGTAAATATTCTTTCCTCTATACCACTAGTCTTGAAACTTAGAAAAAAAGTGGTTTTTAGCATGTACTCCCAAAGTATGTATATATTTCATTTGTAAATTATACATACACGCATATACAAATTACTTGTAAAGTACATGTATATACTTGCAGTAATAGTGCCATGTATATCATATGCATATTATCCCATGCAACTACCTGTATTTATATGCAAATATCCCATGTGTGTTACAAAATATATACAGATGGAAATTTGAAAGTGATGAGCTAAAATTTTAATACTGAATTATTTGTTGCAGGTACGAAATTGTACTCTTACTAAAAGGGATTATGACTAATATTTTAGGGAGCATAATGGAATTGATTATACATCATTTTAAAAAATTGGTTAAATCCCTTGTGATTTAGCAGTTTATGGATCTGTGTCTAATATAATTTAGACTATTGCCCTACGTGGATTTAGTGGCTGTTGTAATCTAGGCAAAGACAGATAAGCTTTGATTGTGCCAAATCTTAGTTTTTAGTCCCCTCCATTCAGCATACAAATGTTTGTTGAAATTCAGCTAATGCGGTTCCCTCTTCCCAGATGCCAATGAATTGTTTTTATTTACTAATCAGAAGGTGCTGCATTTTAATATTTTTGACAAATGGGTTTGGAACTTCTGACAGTCTTTTGCTTAAATTTTTCAAACTGGCTGGAAATTGGTTTCCAAGTTAAGTGTGAAAACATGAAAGTTTCTATAAGCAATTCACTTAAACCATTTTCTTCAAAAAAGCCACAGGATAGAAACCTTTCCCAAGATTCATTTTCAAAATGTTCTGTTTATAGCATGAGATTCTTACAAAAAGTCATTATTTTTCCCCACACTGTTAAGTTATATTTACCTAAAAGGGTAGATTAAATGCATTTATTACTGCTAGGCAGCACACTCTGACAGCCACTTTTCATCACAGGAAAGGTCAACAATTTGGAGCTCTTGACTTTTGCAAAAGAAAAAAAAAATGTGCAACTCAACTCCCCATTCACAAATCTCCTAACACTGCCACAAAATGAGCAGCAAACTTCGGTGTCGGAGAAAAGATGTTCACGGTCACCCTTTATCTTTTCACAAAGCCTGTTAAAGATCTACTATTTAAGAGGACAAAATGTGCTAAAAACTACTTACCTAGGCACGAATAAACTGATTCATACCCCAATTTTCAGAAAGCAAGTAGAGAAGGGATGGGGCCAGGTAGAACTCCAGCTCTTCCCTTAGGAACAATAGATAGCTCAGAGACCATCATGCCACGTGGCCGTTGGCCATGCAGATCAAATGGACATTTGTACATTAAGTATTATCCAGAGATTGGGGGTGGGTGCAGTAGCTTGTGGCTGTCATCTCAGCACTTTGGGTCACTGAGTCAGGAGGATCGTTTGAGACCAGGAATCAAGACCAGCCTGGGCAACATGGTGAGACCCCGTCTGTACAAAAAATAAAAAATAAAAATAGGTTTTGATAGGTTTTGTTGCTATTATTGTTCAGCTCAAATAATTTTTTAATTTCTTTTTTTTTTTTTTTTTTTGAGACAGAGTCTCTCTGTCGCCCAGGCTGAAGTGCAGTGGCACAGTCTCAATTCACTGCAACATCTGCCTCCTGGGTCAAATGATCCTCCTGCCTCAGCTTCCCCAGTAGCTGGGACTGAAGGCATGCACCACCACGCCTGGATAATTTTTTTGTATTTTTTAGTAAAGACAAGTTTCACCATGTTGGCTAGGCTGGTCTCAAACTCCTGACTTCAGGTGATCCACTCAACTTGGTCTCCCAAAGTGCTGGAGTTACAGGTGTGAGCCATCACACCCAGCCTAATTACAATCTTGATTTCGCTATTGACCCAGTGATCATTCAGGAGCAGGTTACTTAATTTCCATGTGTTTTCATGGTTTTGAGGGTTCTTTTTGGAGTTTATTTCCAATTTCATTCCACTGTGTTCTCAGAGACTACTTAATATAATTTTGATTTTCTTAAATTTATTAAGACTTGTTTTGTGGCCTATCATATGCTACTTTGGAAAATGTTTCCAAATGTTTTGGAAAATGTATATTCTGCTGTTGGGTAGAATGTTCTATAAATATATGTTAGGTCCATTTGTTGTAGGGTATAGTTTAAGTCCATTGTTTCTTTGTTGACTTTCTGTCTTGATGATCTGTTTAGTACTGTCAGTGGAGTATTAAAGTCCCCCACTATGATTGTGTTGCCATCTGTCTCATTTCTCAGGTCTAGCAGGTTAATTGTTTTATAAATTTGGGAGCTCCAGTGTTAGATGCATATATATTTAGAATTGTGATATTTTCCTGTTGGACTAGTCCTTTTATCATTATAGTGTCCCTCTTTGTCTTTTATTCCTGCTGTTGCATTAAAGTTTGTTTTGTCTGATATAAGAATAACTACTCCTGGTCACCTTTGTGTCCATTTGCATGGAATATCTTTTTCCACCCCTTTACCATAAGTTTATGTG
Organism: Homo sapiens; assembly: GCF_000001405.40. Classification (NCBI taxonomy): domain Eukaryota; kingdom Metazoa; phylum Chordata; class Mammalia; order Primates; family Hominidae; genus Homo; species Homo sapiens. The sequence continues at coordinate 7,128,711 of NC_000010.11, forward strand.
AGTCTTTATGTGTGACGTGAGTCTCCTGAAGACAGCAGAAACTTGGTTGGTGAATTCTTATCCATTCTGCCATTCTGTATCTTTTAAGTGGAGGATTTAGGCCATTTACATTTGATATTAGTATGGAGATGTGAGGTGCTATTCTATTCGTCATGCTATTTGTTGCCTAAATACCTTGTATTTTTTCATTGTGTTATTGTTATATAGGTCCTGTGAGATTTATGCTTTAAGTAGGTTCTATTTTGGTATATTTCAAGGATTTGTTTCAAGATTTCATGTTTCTTTTAGCAATTCTTGTAGTGCTGGCTTGGTGGTGGTGGATTCTCTCAGCATTTGTTTGTCTGGAAAATAAGTATCTGTCCTTCATTTATGAAGTTTAGTTTCACTGTATACAGAATTCTTGGCTAATCAATTTTTTTGTTTAAGAAGGCTAAAAATAGGACCCCAATCCCTCCTAGCTTGCAGAGTTTCTGCTGAGAAATCTGCTGTTAATCTGGTAGGTTTTCCTTTGTAAGTTATCTGCTTTTGCCTCACAGCTCTTAAGATTCTTTCCTTTGTCTTGACTTTAGATAACCTGATGACTATGTGCCTAGTTGATGATCTTTTTGTGATGAATTTCCCAGGTGTTCTTTGAACTTCTTCTATTTGGATGTCTAGATTTCTAGCAAGGCTGGGGAAGTTTTCCTCAATTGTTCCCTCAAATATGTTTTCCAAATTTTTAGATTTTTCTTCCTCAGCAACACCAATTTTTCTTAGGTTTGGACGTTTAACATAGTACCAAACTTCCTGGAGGCTTTGCTCATTTTTTTTTTAATTCTTTTTGCTTTGTCTTTGATGGATTGGGTTTAATTTGAAAGCCTTGTCTTCGAGCTCTGAAGTTCTTTCTTTTGCTTGTTTGATTCTATTGCTGAGACTTCCCAGTGCATTTTGCATTTCTCTAAGTGTGTCCTTGATTTCCAGAAGTTGCGATTGTTTTTTATTTATGCTATCTATTTCACTGAAGAATATCCCTTTCATATCCTGTATCATGTTTTTGATTTATTTAAATTGGACTTCACTTTTCTCTGGTGCCTCCTTGATTAGCTTAATAACCTTCTGAATTATTTTTCTGGCAATTTAGAGACTACACCTTGGTTTGGATCTATTGCTGGTGAGCTGGTATGATCTTTTGGAGGAATTAAAGAAACTTGTTTTGTCATATTACCATAACTGTTTTTCTGGTTCCTTCTAATTTGGGTAGATTATGTCAGAGGGAAGATCTGGGATTCAAGGGCTGCTGTTCAGATTCTTTCGTCCCACGAGGTGCTCCCTTGATGTGGTGCTCTCTCCCCTTCCCCTAGGGATGGGGATTCCTGAAACCTGAACTGTAGTGATTGTTTTTGCCCTTCCGGGTCTAGCCACCCAGCAGAGCTACCAGGCTCCAGGCTGGAACTGGGGAGTGTCGGCAAAGAGTCCTGTGATGTGATTTGTCTTCAGGTCTTGCTGCTGTCAATACTAGCACCTACTCTGGCAGAGGTAGCAGGGGAGTGAAGTGGGCTCTGTGAGGGTCCTTGGTTGGTTTTTGTTTAGTGCGCTGGTTTTGTGTTGGTTGGCCTCCAGCCAGGAGGGAGCGCTTTCAAGAGAGCATCAGTTGCGGTCCTTTAGGGAAAATGCAAACTTGCCCTCAAGACACCTGGTTAAGTATTCAGGTTTCTCTGGCAGTGGGCAGGGCCATAGAGCTCCCAAGAAATTATGACCTTTGTCTTTGGCTACCAGAGCAGGTAGAGAAAGACCACCAGGTGGGGGCAGGGATAGGTGTGTTTGAGCTCACCCTCTCCTCGGGCAGGGCTTTCTGGGGCTGCTGTTAGTGATTGGGGGTGTGGTTCCTAGTCCAATGGAGTAATATTCCCTGAAGAATTATGGCTGCCTCTGCTGAGTCATACAGGTCATGAGGGAAGTGGGGGAAAGCCAGCAGTCACAGGTCTCACCCCACTCCCACGCAGCCCACAGTCCTAAAGGCCGGTCTCACTGCCACCGCATCCCCCCAACGGCACCAAGTCTATTTCCAGGCATCTGGTGGCCAGGACTGAGAACTCGCCCCAGACCACAAGCCTATTGAGAAAGCAAGCAGACTCACAGTAGTTCGGCATCTCAGGGAGCCTGCAGCAGCGTTCCAGTTCCTTCAGGGGGTCTGTGGATTCTCTCTGCTTTCTTGGTATGCTCCTGAGGTAGTTCTTGCAAAAGTTCACAGTGTGAGTCTCCACACACTGCCCTGTCCATCCGAGTGGGGGTTGCAAGCTAATCTTGCCTCCACCTCATCATCTTAATCCTAGTGTCTGCATGCATGTGTCTTTAAGGTAGAATGATTTATATTCATCTGGGTATATACCTAGTAATGGGATTGCCAGGTCAAATGGTAGTTCTGCTTTTAGCTCTTTGAGGAATCACCATACTGCTTTCCACAAGGATTGAACTAATTTACACTGCCACCAACAGTGTATAAGCATTCCCTTTTCTCCACAA